>NT_187514.1:0-109528 GCF_000001405.40 Homo sapiens
CCAGCCAGAATACCACATGCATTTAGCTGTTCTGTCTCCTTAGGCTCCTCTTGACTGTAACAGTTTCTTTGATCACCTTGACAGTTTTGAGGACTGCTTGTCAAGTACATAGTTGGATGGCCCTCTTGGAGTTTTTCTGATGTTTTTCTCATCAGTTAGACTGGAGGCTAGGTTTGAAGGAAGAAGATCACGGATGTAAAGTTCCACTCACATCATATCAAGGCTACAGACTATCAACATGATTGATGATTATTGATGCTGACCTTAGTCTCCTGGCTGAAGTCATGTTTCTCAGGTTTCTCCACTGTAAAGTTACTCTTTTGCTCCTCTTTTCCATACTGTAGTCTCTGGAAGGAAGTCATTATGAGTAGTCCACATTTAAGGAGTGGGGAGTTATGCTCCATCGTTGAGGGGAAGAGTATCTACATAAATTATTGGGAATTCTTCTTTACAATAAATTTGCCTCTTCTCCACAATTTAGTAATTTATTCAATCATTTATATCAGCATGGACTTATGGATATTTATTTTATTTTGGTGGTTATAATCCAATATGATTATTTATTTTGTTGCTCAATTTGTTCAAGTTTTGGCCATCTTTTGCTGTAGATTAGCATATTTATTATAGTTATTTCAAAGTCATTGTCTGCTAATTTCAACATCTTTGTCATCTGTGGCTCTTTTTCACTGGCTGATTTTTTTCTTGACTATAGGTCACATTTTCCTGTTTCTTCACCTGTCTAGCCATTTTTTATTGTATGCTGGACTTTTTTTTTTAATTTTGAGATGGAGTTTCACTCTTGTTGCCCAGGCTGGAGTACAATGGCACGATCTCGGCTCACCACAACCTCCACCTCCCAGGTTCAAGTGATTCTCCTATCTCAACCTCCCAAGTAGCTGGGATTACAGGCACCTGCCACAACGCCTGGCTAATTTTTTGTATTTTTAGTAGAGAGGGGGTTTCAATGTGTTGACCAGGTGGGTCTCGAACTCCTGACCTCAGGTGATCCACCTGCCTTGGCCTTCCAAAGTGCTGGGATTACAGGCGTGAGCCACCATGCCCAGCCCAACATTTTGATGATACTCTCTAGAGACTTGGTTTTATTATCTCCCTGAAGAGTAATAACAATTTTTTTGGCCAGTGGTTAAATTATTATTAGATAACCTTTAACTTTTGGATTCCTGACTTTATGCTTTGTTTGGTGGAAAGCTCTATTTCAGGTTTATTCCTGATCTAAAAATGAATAATTCTATTATAAGATGTAGTCTTTACTTCTAATGTGTTGCCATTCTGGGGATTTATTGCCATGCCCTCACACTTTGTAGAATTCTGAATCCACATTCTGTCTCCCTGGATTGGGTGGATTCTGAAATCTTTGCTCAGCAATTCCATCTTTCCAGCTGTTGCTCTCCCTTTGGGTTCTTTAAAGTCTTGCCTGCACATGTCAGTTCAAGAGGTATCCAAATATCTGAAGGGAGTTTATATACAGAATTTGGAGATGTCTCTCTGTGGCCCTCCTTTCTGGAATTGTCCTTAATCTCCAGCCATTTAGCAGTCCCATACTCTGTCCTCTGACTCTTCAAACCACTCAGAATGCAGCTTTCTTTATGAACAGTAGAGGGACTCACCCTCAGAGGAAAAAATAACTAAGGTAGTTCTCACCCAGTGTGGTTCTCTTCTTTCCAAGGCCATAGCCCCTAAATTTCTGCTGAGTTTGGGTTGCTCTCCACTTTCTTCAAAAAAATAGTCTTATAAGTGTTTTAAAAATATTTTGTCTAGAGTTTATAATTAGTCCAATATAAACTACTCTGCCAATATCAACATTCATAAGCTATTTATTTATTTTTATTTATTCACTTTAGAAACAAAGTCTTATTTTGTCATCCAGGCTAGAGTGCAGTGGTGCAATCTGGGCTCCAGTGATCTTTTGCCTCATCCTCCTAAGTAGCTAGGATAACAGCCACACACCACAATGTCTGACTTTTCTTTTTCTTTCCTTCTTTTTTACTATTTTATTTTATTTTTTATTTATTTATTTTTTCTTGGTAGAGGTGAGGTTTCCCTGTGTTTCCCAGGGTGGTCTCAAACTCCTGGCCTCAAGTGATCCCTCTCACCTCAGCCTCTCAAACTGCTGGGATTACAGGTATGAGCCACTGCACTTAACCTGCTTAATATGTAGTTTTGACAGCCAACTTAAATCTATCTGAATTAAGACAAGGTAAAAGTCAAATCAATGTGGTGGCATCAGCCAGGAGGTTGCCTGAAGAGTTGCTGTCCTTCTCTGAGCTTCCATTTACTGTAGAAGGGCTAATAATTCTCCCTGTATTGGCTAGTGATGAAAGCTAAGGAACCTGGCATGCAGTAGGTGCTCTCTGAATGAGGCACCGTTGGGACTCCCTTCCCTTTCCACTCAGTAGAGCCACCCAGCTGTCATGGCCTGCACATCAACTCCTGCAGCAAAAATGCAGCACTTCCCTCATCTCTCTCCTGTCTGTCTCTTCTAGCAGTGTCTGGCTCTTAAGAGCTTCTGGCCTATTCCATCCCAAGGGCCACTTGTAGGTGCATTTACAAAACTGTGAGTTCTACAAGGGTAGGGGTCTTGTCTTTCTCAGCTCTATATGTCCAGCTCCTTGAAAAAGAAAATAAATATAATAAGCATTCATCCATTCATTCATTTATCTAATACTATTGAGCACCTATTATATTCTGGTCACTGTCCTAAGTGCTGGGATTCAGCACTGAACAAGAGGGACAATATCACTGCTCTTCTTGACATATTTGGTGGAGGAGCTGGGCAATATACTAATAGGTCAAATACATAGTATGCCAAGATGGTAATAAGAGCAATTTAGGATATAAACACAGGAGAGGGGAAGACAGAAGGCAAAAATGAGGAGAGCGTAGTATTAAATAATGGAGCCAGGAAAGGTGACATTGTGATCAAAGACTGAAACAAGGTGAATGAATGAATGAATCATGCAGATATTTGGGGGACGAATATTCTAGTCAGAGAGAACAGTCCATGCCAAGGCCCTGTGGTGGGGGTATGCCTGGCCTACGTGAGGAACAGTGAGAAGGACAGTGGGGTGGAACTTTGCGACTCATTTTAAAACCCTCTCTCTCTTTCTCCTGCCTCACACTTAGAGACTGGTGAGAAGAAGAGGAATCAGCAGACAGAAGCAGAGGCCAGTAAGGTTGGAGGAAAACAGAAAGGGCAGGTTGCTCCGGAAGGCAAGGAGGAAAGAGTGATCACATGTGTGCCAGATGAGGATTGAGACTTCTCTGTTGGATTTAGCAACAAGGAGGTCATTGGTGACCACAGCAAGGGCCATTTTGGTGAGCAGATGGGGACACCAACCTAATAGGGTGAATTCAAGAGAGAAGAAGGAAGACAGCAGTTGAATGAGCAAGCTTAGGCAACATTTTGAGGGGTTTTGCTTAGGAGAGGAGCAGAGAAATGCGGCAGGACTTGGAAGGGAATAAGGAGTCAAGAGGTTTAATTCTTTTTTTTTTTAATTTTTTTAGACAGAGTCTTGCTCTGTTGCCCAGGCTAGAGTGCAGTGGTGTGATCTCTGCTTACTGCAACCTCCACCTCCCAGTTCAAGTGATTCTCCTGCCTCAGCCTCCCAAGTAGCTGAGACTACAGGCGTGTGCCACCGCGCCCAGCTAATTTTTGTGGTTTTAGTCAAGACAGGGTTTCACGATATTGGCCAGGCTGGTCTTGAACTCCTGACCTCAAATGATCCACCCAACTCAGCCTCCCAAAGTGTTGGGATTACAGGCATGAGCCACTGCGCCCGGCCGCTTCTCTTTTAAATGGGAAAAATATTTGCATGCTGTTTGTCTGCTAATGGGAGGGATTGAATAAAAGGGAAAAATTTGAGGATACAGGAGAGAGAGAAGCGATATTCTTAAGTAGGCCATGTGTCTTTGCCTATTCTGGTCCCAGCACATTAATTTTTGATTAGGGAGTGACCCTTCTCCACCCCCTTCAGTTCAAATGGCCCAAGTGAGGCTGCCTGAGTCCCTGGCTTCAGGAGTGGGCATTTGACCAGGCCTGATCAATAAGAGCACTGCAGTCCCAGGCCAATGGCCCAAGCTGCCCCACTCTGAGCTAAAGAGCAACAGCCCTAGGAGTTTTGCTGGAGCACCTAGGAATGGGAGACTCTCTTTCCACTGGGTGGCTGAACTGACAGGGTGTGGACTCAGCTGTGCCTGCACCCAGAGCCTGCCCCAGCATAGAGCCTGCACCAGCATAAAGCCTGCCATGGAGCAGGCTAATGCCTGTGTAATACAACTGGATTCCTGGAGCCTGGCTGCCCTCCTCCCAGGCTGGTCTTTCTTTGCTCCATCACTCTGTTTTAGCTCCTCTGTAGTCATCATCACTACTTGCCTTATTACTTAATTTGTTTATTCATTTATTGTCTCCCTCATAGGAACCTTTGTCTACCTTTTCCATTGCTGTATCCCCAGGATCTCTTTCTAGCACAGAGTAGGGCTTCAAATAAATATTAGTTGACCGAATAAGTGAATATGTAAGAATGTGCTACAGCTGTATATTCATCTTGAACCATATCTCACTTATCCAGGCATCTGGCAGCTTCAGCTATCTAGAATGGAACACAAATACCCAAAAAGCCCTAGAATTACCAAAATGCAAGTCACATGGACCATGTCTACAAGCACAAGTTTTTTGTTTTTGTAAACAGAGGTGCTCCCTCACTCAGAGATGAGAGGCTTCTACTGCAGGCGTGGTTCTCATATGCCCGGTGAGTTGGTTGTCCAACCACAACAGGTTAGTGGCAGGGCGCTAGGAGGAGTGGGTCCTGCTGGAAGGTACTACATGAATACCAGCGAGAAGAGACATCTGGGGCCCAGAAGACCAGAAAACACCAGAAGGCAGGTGAGAGAACTCCAGGAGAAGGCGGGCTACAGGCTGGGCTCCAGTCCTCTGGGGATCCTCCGGGGCTAGAGGACATAGGGGTGACAGTGAGACTCAGAGGGCACAGAGCAAAGCTTAAATTATGCTCCACAGTGCCCTTTCCAGAAACGGGAATGCAAGGTACATTTTATCATCCATTTTTAAAGAGATTGATTCAATGCAGAAGAAGAAGCAGAAGAAATAAAAATCGCCTGTCATCTTAGAGATGCCTCCATGATGAGCATGTGATACGGCAGGTATTGGTTCTGCTCGTCCATTCCAGTGTCATTAAATGTGCTTCACAAACATGACTCTTATTGGCTGCATAATATTCCATCACACGGACATCAAATATTCCCCTACTGGACAATTTGCTTCCAAATATTTGCTGTTAACCGTAACACAGTAGTGAGATTCTTGTACGTAATCATGGAGGCTCAGACCTCTCTCTTGATAGTAGAATTGCTAGGTCAAAAGTATGGGCATTCTAGGATGTTTTACACATGCAGTGAAATTTATCCACTCTCAAGCTGGGTATCAGTGCCTCTTAGATGCTAAATTAATTAGATCTTGGTGGATAAAGAAATAAAGCTCAATGCAGAAAAACCCCTGTGTAACACCTCTCATCCCTGGATAGTAACTGACTGGTGTCTCCTGGGTGCACAATCATGTGTGTTCATGTGTGTGTGCGTGTGTGTATGCACGTGTGTGTGTGTTCGTGCACCCATATTTCACTGGTACTATCCAACTACTCTGTGAGCTGTTTGTGGTAGGTATTGTCACCCCATTGTACAGATGAAGAAGCTGGGGCTCAGAGGGCATGAATATTACAGTAAAAGGAGCATAAGCAGACATACCTGGGTTTGAATCCCAACTCTGCTCCTCTTGAGCCTCATCCTCTTACACAGGAGGTTAGGATAGAGACACCTGCCTCCCAGGAGGGGGTGAAATGAGAGAGCAGATCGAAAGTGTCTGGTACAAACTGGACACAGAAGGTGTTCAAGCAATGATATTTGTGGTCATTGCCAAGCTCACAGAGGCTGAATTGAACCCATGTCTCCTAACCACAAGCTAAGTGCATATTCTTGGCACCGCCTGCCTTTGAACCAAATGCAAAAACTGAGACAGGACTTGGAACAGTCTCTACATCGGGTTATCATTGCTGCATCCCCAGAGCCCTTCTATCAATCCAAAGGGACAAGGGACCAACATCTGAGTCAACTTTAAAAATAATATAGCCCACAGAAGTGAATGGCTGTCAGCCTGTGGCCCACTGGGACTGGGAGATCTTTCTCATGTTGAGCTGAATCCCAGCCTGCATCAGTGTTCTCCCAGCTTGGTATCCGGGCATCCATGCTCACCTCCCAAATCTTGGACCATGGGGACAGGGAAAACTTGCTGATGACAAGGATGAGAAGACCCCTCCTCCACCCAGGTCTTTGGGAAAGTTAATCCAGCTTCTAGGCCAGGCCATTCTGGGTAATGGATGCCTCTTTTTAATGCTCTCTGGGAGGTGGGTCCCGCCTTCATCTGCTACAGTGTCATTAAGACAGAAAACATTAGCTCCATGGGGCTCCCGATGGCCTTCAGAAACTGCAAGTTAAACACTAACCAGAAGGGCTTCTCAAGCCTTAACCCTCTCCTTCCCAGCACAGGCCAAGGCCTCAGCCAGACGGCTCTGCAGATCACTGGCCTGGGCTCCCAGGGACCCTGGCTTTTCACAGCCTTGGGAGCAAGTGAATGTGAGGAAAGAGGGAAGATAGAGGGCAGAGAAGAATCCTTGAGGCTCTTGATCCAGGTGTTTGGAGGTGCCCCCACCACCTACCCCAGAGCTGGTTAGAGAGCAGAGCACTTAGAGGCTGGGTTGGGGCTGGTGACTTTGGGCCACTCCCTTGACCTCTCTGTTTGCTGGATTCCTACAGGGTGGGGGCTGGATGGGCTCCATTCCTCCAGGTAGAGCCTGGTGGTCTTCTCCAAGAGGGGTGGCGTGTCCTCAACCCCCCAGGTCCCTGCACCAAAGCCTGTTCCCTGCTCAGACCACACGTGACCTGGTGGGGAGGCCACCTGTAGGGCAGAGGGGGAGCAGCTGACCTGGATGAGTTGGCAGAGGTGGGGAGCCCCTGGTATCAAGCGTCTCTGGATGCCCAGCACTGTGCTGGGGCTCCACACATACAAAATGCCTGTGCCAGCCTCACAACCACCCTGTGGGGAAGGGGTGATGTTCCCCCCACTTCATAGCTGACAGCACGGAGGCTCCGCATACAGAGGGACCTGTCCAGGTCGAACTGAGATCTGTCTGATTCCAAACCCAAACTCTTTCCCATCAGCCATTGGCAGAGAGCACAAGAGAGGACGTGGCCTCACCTTGGCCCCTCTCCTCTTTGCACAGGCTGTCTCTCCTCCTCACCTGTTTTCCCCTCCTCTATTCAATTCCTGCCCAGCCCAAGGCAAGCCTCCTCCAGGAATTCCTCCTTGATGTCTGACAGCCAAACCCCAAGCGTGTTACCCAGCGAGACTGCTGGTTGTTCAATTTGCCAACACAGCTTTAGAGTTTGCTGCAGTGAGTGCAGACGCAAACATGAGCTCATTTCATTCTCTCACCAGGCTCACGAGTATTTGCTGGGCACTGACTTGGAGCCAGGTGCTGCAGGGCTGCAGAGGGTACAGGAACAAACATGCACTGAGCGCCTGCAGATGCCCCTCCCGTGCTCAGGGGAGCCCACATGTCACCCTAGGCAGGATCCTTGCCCCATTTGACAGATGAAGAAACTGAGGCCCAGAGAAGAGGAGGAAGCTGCTCAGGGTCACTCAGTGAGCCAATGGCTGGGATTCAACACTAGGCCAGTCCCCAGATCCACACCCACCGCCCCCCGACACTCCCTGCCCCAGAACCTTTTAAGCTCCCACTGCTGGGGCAGGACTGGCCCTTTGCCCTGGAGCCTCTGGTCATGCAGGTGGGCTCTGTAGCCACAGCCACGCAGGGAGGGGAGGGACAACGTGCAGCCGGCAGGATCCTATGTCACCCCTCGGTGACATGCCCACCTGCTCAGCCCATCCTCCAGCCTGTTCCTCCACCTGGGGGCTCAAAGCCCCTGACCAGCCCCCTGACCACTCACTTCCCCAAACTGTCCAGCTCTGGCTGGAGAAGCAACAGAACATAAATTAATGCATCTTCAGCTCTGGCTCCAAATGATTTTTCTCTCACCTTCCTGGACTGATCCCTCATCAGCTCCATCCTCAGAGAAATATGAGAGGACCCAGAGGGTGGAGGCTGGTCCTAGCCTTGCGGGGACATGGGCCTGGCCCTGGGACTGGTACAGGTTGATAAACCCCATTCCTTGGAGGTGGTGGCAACATGGCTCAGCATGAAAGGTGGGGTCCAGGTGTGTGTGCATGTGCATGTGAGGTCAGCAAAGCCCTCTCTGCTCCCCCAGGCCCTGGACCCAGGCCCTGGGGCTAAGCTAGGGCTGCTGCATGAGTCCCCAGTTTGCTAATGGAGGGGAGGCCTCCCTTGATAATGAGAATCACCTTATGAACTCCCCTGGGCTGCCGCCTCCCAGACTTTATTTTTTCTGACTCAGTCTCAATTTGAAATAAGGAGAGAGAGGCTGAGAGAGAGAAAAATTCCAAGCTGTCACCTTTGGTAGATGCTCCAGAAAAGGAGTCTAAGTCTCACTTGTCACAGGCAGGGAAACCGAGGCTCTAAGAGGGAGCTCAGTGTTTGTACAACCAGTTGGTGGCAGAGCTGGGACAGGCATCGGGACTCAGCAGAGCTCCTGACTGTCAGTGCATGCATGTGAAATGGTGTGTGTGACAGTTAAGGACACAAATGCAGAGTGCGTGAGAACATGTGCCTTAGTCTCAGAGTGTGAGTGTGAGAAACACTTGAGGGCCGTGGCGGTGGCTCTCCCCTCGGGCAACGCCCAGATCCTGTGGGTGACTCCTAGCAGATCTTCTGTGTCCCCAGCCTGTCCTTGCTGGACTCTGAGCTGATGTCCCATTCTAGAAAATTTTCAGCTGCTGGCCAGGAACAGTAGGGAACCCAATTGTTTCTATTTGGTCTTTATTGAATAAAAATGAAATTTAAATTCTTTGCAGGGAGGTAATTTTTCCTAATCACTCACCCTGCTGCACGGATTCCCCACAACTTGATTATGTCTAACTAGATTAATTGTATGGAGAGTGATTTCTTTTCTCTGAGAAAATTAACCACAGAGCAGGGGGGTCATCTGAGCCCCAATGACTCCCTACCCCCAAGAAAGTCCCCAGGGCCCAGGTTCTGGGTGGGGGGGGCTGCCTTGTCCCAAGGCCTCCCTCTGCCTCTCTCCCATCACTGGCTCCTTCTGTCACCAAGTCCCTGTCACCATCTGTCTCTGTCTCCCACTGTCCCTGACCCTCTCCTGGTTTGGGCTTCTGCGGTCCTGACTGCGGGGGAGGCCACCGCCCTGCGCCCCTGCATTAAAGAGGCTGATGTTCTCCATGAGGGGAGGGGAAAGGCACAGTGTGAAGTGCTCAAGTTCACCTTCTGAAGCAGCTTGGGCTGAGGTGAGGGGGTCACATGGACAGCCCCCCAGAGCCCCAGCCAGTGTACCACCAATATCCTGGTTTCCAAAGCCTTTAAACTACATAGAGTTTTACAGTTTGCGTGGGCTGGATGCAGCCTGAGTGCCCACAGAGGGGGCTGCAGGGCCAGGCTGGGCCAGACCAGCTGTGGGGCTCAGGGAGGGCCTGGCTGGAAGAAGGGGGTCTGGGCAGCCCCTCTCTCAGCCTGAGGGAGGCTGAAGGGTCTGCAGTCCCAGTCGCTCCCCCATGGCCAAGCTGGCACTTCCCTCCAACAGGCACAGAATCCCCAGCCCCAGACACCTGCTCCTTCCTGGAGCTCAGCACCACCTTCCTTTCGGAACGCTGGGCCTGGGCCTGTCCTCAGCTGCTGCTGCCCTGCCGCCCCTGCTGGGGGTCTCCTAGCCCTGCCCCCTTGGGGTCTCCCTCCATACCCCTGTCTACACTGTTCTCACCCAGTCCAGGGCACCATCTTCTCTCCCCAGACACTGCACAGCTGCTCCAGTCTCCTGGACCCAGACCCTCCCCCTGCAGTTCACAGGCTGCAGCCAACATGAACAGGCCATGCCCCCTCTCAAAGCCCTTCCATGGCTCCGCTGCTCTGAGGACTAAAATCCCAACAACAGTGTGGACTGCAGGGCCCTTGTGAAACAGCCACATGGACCTCTGCAGCCCCATCTTTCCCACTCTCGTCTTACACTCGCCACACAGAGTCAGCTGTGTGCAGGCCTCTGTGTGTGCTGGGCCATCTTCCCGAAACACCCTCTCCCAGGCCTGCCTGATGCCAGCTTTCTGCACAGCCCTGCTCGATGGTCAACAGCAGCTGGTGTGTACTGAGAGCTGACTGTGTGCCAGGCACTGTGCTAAGGGCTTTACGTGGTTATCCCATTTAACACTCCCAGCAACCCTGCAGGGATAGCTATTATCCATCCCCATTTTACAGAAGAAAAACTGAGGTTCACACATGAAGCATCTGGCCAAGGGCTCTCATCTGGGAAGTAAATGGTGGAGCTGGGATTTGAGTCAGGTCATTTGCATGAGGTCGCTTCTGCCCATCCCAGGCACCTCTTCCCAGGTTCAGGGCCCCTCCTCCACACTCCTGTTTCCCCTGCACGAGCATTCGCCTGACTGTTCTGAAACTACTCATTTCCCAGTCTCCCCATGGGGCCTGGGCTGTGAGCTCCCCAGGACCACGTGGGTCTCTCCTGTCTCTGGGCCCCAGAGCCCAGCATGGGACCCGATACATGGTGGACGCTTGGCCAGGGTCTGCTGACTGAGGAGTAGGGGGCAGCCCTACTGGCAGCTGGCCCCTCCCTCCCACACCCATCCCTTCTACCACTCGATACCTCAGTAAGCAAAGCCTTTAAACCAAAAACAATTTTACAGTTCATTTGAGTTAATCACGGCTGCTCTTTCTGGAAACAATCTTCCCCAAATTGTCTGCAGAGAGGCGAGCACCCTGCCTGGCAGCCCCCACCCCACCCTCCATCACAGACCCTTGGAATCACAGGAGATGGTGGGAAGTGGGAGTGGTGGAGACCCCAGGAATTCAAGTCAGCTGTCAAGCTGCATGTCGGCTGTGATAGGCATTGGAGTACCACAGTCAAGAGATGGACCCCACCCCCACCCTCATGGGGCTCACTGTATAAAGGAAGAGAAAAACATCAAACAAACCATCACACAAGTGATTCTGTAGTTAGTACTGAGCTGCAATAAGTTAATCATGCAGAAATCTAACAGTACTAACTATACAAACCTGGCAATTTGTTAAACCTCTTGGAGCCTCTGTTTCCTCATTTGTAAAATGGGGATCTTATTGGCATCTTCTTCATGGGGTGTTGAGAACACAACGAGATGGGTAAAGCTCTTAACCTGGCACCTAGTTGGTGTTTAACATACATTAAGAGCTCTGTCAGTCAGTTCCAGCTGCCATAACAAGACACACGACTGGGAGGCTTAAATAAAAGAAATTCATGGTCTCTCAGTTCTTGAGCCCAGAAATCTGGGACCAAGGTGTTGGCAGAGTGAGTTTCTTCTGTCTCTTCTCTTGGCTTGTAGGTGGTCATGTTCTCTCTGTGTCCTTTTGTTGGACAAGGCCCCATCCTGTGACCTCATTTTAGCTTAATCCCTCTTTGAAGGCCATCTCTCCAAATATGGAGATCGTAACCTTCTCAGGTATTGGAGGTTAGGACTTCAACATTCAAATTTGTGGGGAAACACAATTCACCCTGTAACGGGATATGTCCAAGAAAATTGAGTATATATATCCACAAATCACTTATATGTAAATTTTCATAGAAGCTTTATTTATAATAGTTTAAAAAGAAAATAACCCAAATGTCCATCTATGAGAGAATGGATAAATATATTGTGAAGAGTGATAAAATTGAAATACACAGAATTTTTCAAAAATAAACAAACTACATATATATGTAGATATATATATAAAACATCATATATTAGACATATATAGAACATATATGAATATCACAGACAGGGTCAACAAAAAACATCTGCCACAAAAGACACATCCTTTACATTCCCATTAATATGAACAAGTCTATAGTGATATTATAGAACAATGAACATCTCTCAGGGTTGGGAGATTGACTGGAAAAGGAAACAAAGACTTTATTGGATGCTAGAAATGTTCTTTGTCTTGATTTGGCTGGTGGTTACATGGGTGTACATCTGTGTAGAAGTTCATAGAGCTATCTCCATCAGCTTTTGCTCAAAATACAAATTGGGTGGTAAATAGCCATTTATTTAGCTCACAATTCTAATGGCTGTCTGTGCAATTGATCGGGTCTAGTCTAGCTCAGGTCATCTCTCCTGAGTCTAGGGTCCACTAGTATTGCAGATTACAGCTGGATGATTTAAGGATGGTTTCACTCACACATTTGATATTCGGCAAGCTATCAGCTGGAGCACCTTCATTCTTTTCCATATGGTCTCTGACCTTCCATCAAGCCAGCTCAGACTCATTCCATGTCTCCAAGTTCAGCAAAAAAGAGAAAGACCTTATGGGCAAGCAATTCAAAAGCCTCTGTGTGTCTACTCTTTGTTAGTGTTTCGATTGGCCAGAGCAAGTCCATTGGCCAACCCAGATTGAAGAGGTGGAGAAATAAACTTCCATTCCTGATGGAAGGATTTGAAATGCCAAATCACAAAAGTACGAATGCAGAAGGGAAAGAATTTATGGTTATTTTACAACCTACCACATGTACACTTAATATTTATATATTTTACCATATGCAAGTTATATATTAATACAACAAATAGAAAAATATGGGGTTTGAGTCACATGATGACAACAGGTACTCTTGGTGTCAGTATGCTTGTAGGTTTCCTTGTTAGGGTCCCTGTTTTCTACATGGCCCCTAATTCTGCAGAGACAGTGTTGTTACAAGATGCATGTGAGTATATGTGTGTGGATGGGGAGTTGTAGCTTCACAACTTTCAGCCTCAGTCAGATTTCTCTCAAGTGGGATGGAGTGAGAGATGGGACTATCAATGGACTATATTGTGAAGAGCTGAACACAGGTACATCTGATGTTTACACAGGTAAACTTGAGGAAGTGGTAAACCTGATTTCTCAGCTGTAGAAGTCAGGCTGAGAGGCCAGGCACGGTGGCTCACACCTGTAATCCCAGTACTTTGGGAGGCTGAGGCAGGCAGATCATGAGGTCAGGAGATCGAGACCATCCTGGCCAACACGGTGAAACCCCGTCTCTACTAAAAATACAAAAATTAGTTGGATATGGTGGCGTGCGCCTGTAATCCCAGCTACTCAGTAAGCTGAGGCAGGAGAATCACTTGAACCTGGGAGGCAGGGGTTGCTGTGAGCCAAGACTGAGCCACATGCACTCCAGCCTGGCCACAGAGGGAGACTCTGTCGAAAAGAAAGGGGAGGAGAGTGGAGGGAAGGGAAGAGGGGAGGGGAGGGGAGGGGAGGGGAGGGGAGGGGAGGGGAGGGAAGGGAAGGGAAGGGAAGGGAAGGGAAGGGAAGGGAAGGGAAGGGAAGGGAAGGGAAGGGACAGGCTGAGAAATGAGCCAGGGAAGTGCGATGTCCTGGGTCAGTTGTTTCAGCACCATGGAGTGCTCTGATGGACCTTAAAGGACCTTTCTCTTCATAGTCCCAGGATCGCTCATTTCCCTCTGTCTTCTAGGTAAAATTATCTGGTTAAGAGAAATTTACTCTTGCAAACTTTACATTGTTAGCAGGAGTGATGGCATGGGCTCTGGAGCCAAACTGCCTGTGTTCCCGTCTTGGTTGCACCACACAAGCTGTGACTTTGGGAGAAGTTACTTAACCTCTGTGCAATGTGCCTTATCTGTCATGAGAAAAATAATGGTAGCTACTTCATAGGATTGTGGTGAGGACAAATTCAAATTAAAGAAAGTAAAGAGCTTAACATAGTGGCTGGCACATGGTAAGTACTAAAAAGTTAGCTATTATTATGGTGGTCAGTATTATTATCTCCCAAGAGCTATTTTGCATAAGATGGAAAAGATTAAGAAGACCTCCTTCACCCCAGATGCCGGAAAAATTTGTTATATAACCTCATGTGAACTATATGAACTACCCAGACCCCATTCCCATTCTGTAAAATGATGCGATTTGCTTTTTCCACATTATTAGATTTTATCTTTTTACCAAGAGAAAGTGTCCATGTATTATTTGATAAAATAAATAAAACAATAAAAGAAAATAATAAAATAAAACAAAAATGATATAATAAAATAAAAATGAAATTTAAAAAGATTTTACACTAAATGGCCTTTATGGCCCCAATAAGCCCTATCTGTTCCCGGTCTTGGATGCAGGACTCGGGGGTGGATAGAGTCAAGATGGGGGTTTGGTAAGAAGTGAGGACTTTGGGGCAGCCTGGAAGAGGACTCAAAAAGAGCACATTGAGCATGTCAAGGCTTTTAGTTCTTACATTATCTCCCCCACTCCCACTCTCACTTGCCCAATTTATTGTGCTTAGACTCTGGGCACCTCTGAGTCCAGATACAAAGGCACTCCCCGTCCTCTCCCTTGCTTTGGCCACACTGGCATGATTTTAGCTTCTTGACAACACTGCAGTGCTTCTCTCCCTATAGGCTGTGCCCTCTCTCAGGAACGTGCAATATCCTTCAGAGTCTTACAATTGAAGGGACAAAAACCAAATGAATCCTGTTTAAACAAAAGAAATAAAAAGGGAAGATTATTTTGTTCATTCACCTGAAAAATCCAGGTGTGCATAGCTTCAGGCATGGCTGGATCCGGGGATTCAAAGAATATTTCAGACTGTGGTCTTCCTGTCTCTTCGGGGTTGGCATCTTTCACAGTCACGCTCTCCCTGCAGGTGAGAAATGGCTACACTGGTAGTGTCAGGCTTACATCACTCTGGCTACATGCCCCTCCTCTGCGGTAGTTAACAGCAAAGTCTCTGGGATGTTTCTCATTGGCTGAGATGGGGTCATCTGCCCACTCCTGAAAGAATCACATAGCCAATGGGTGAAGTTTAGTGAAGGGCCAGGCCTGGATGGCAGGAGCCAGAGGATAGGCAGCCCTATCTGCTGAACTAAGTGGACATGGAGTTGTTTTCACAGGAAAAATCGAGAGTGGTCCCTGCAGAAGGGGAGAAGTGGTTCAGGAACAAGCAAACGATTAAACAGAAGCCCACTACACATTCACCTGGACTCATCCTGCAGGTCTCAGCAAAAGTGCCACTTCTTCAGAGTGATCTCAGTCAAGGCCCACCAGTCCCTTTCCTCTGCTTTTTAGCTCCCATTTTTCTCACAGCTAAAATGTACTGAATGCTAAATATGTACAGACATCGTCCTAAGAGCTTTACATACATTAATAACTGTAATTATTTCAATATCCCTCTAAGGGATGAGGAAACTGAGGTGCAGAGAGGTTGAGTATTGAGTAACTTGCCCAAGGGCGCACAGCCAGGAAGTGGCAGAGTTGGTATTCCAGCCCAGGTGGTCACCCTTCAGCCCACACTTTCCCGAAACCACTAGATTTCTCTTTCTAAATATCACATGGGTAATCATGAATTTGCATATACACACGCACAAACACACGCGCTCACATAAACACACATTCACACACATCTATTCTCACATAAACACTCTCAAAATACATACGCATGCATTTACACACAAATATATTTTGCACGCATACACAAACACAAATATGCATACACTCACCAAAAACATTTTCACACACACATACTCATACATGCATTTGCTCACAGATACACACTACACACACACTCACATAGATACCTTCACATACTCCCATTTATACACACAATCACAAACATGCACTCATATAAACACTCCCATGTCACACACTCATACCTGCATACATACACACAGTCACACTGTCATGCACTTTTGCACATACACGTGCACTCACACATGTACACTCAAATACATATTTTCTTACACTCACAAAACATTCACGTGCACTCATAAATGTATTCACTCGCACATCTGCACACATATGCACTCAAATAGACATTCATATGCACATTCAAAAACATACATGCATTCACACACACATACACATCCATTTGCATGCACTCACGCAAATATTCTCAAAAACATACACATTCATGCACATTTTCACTCATACACACACATACATATGCACTCATATAAACATTCTGACATTCTCATCTGCTCGAATTCACACACTCTCACATGCACACACACATGAGCCCAGGAGTTCAAGCCTGCAATGAGCTGTGATTGCTCCACTGCACTCCACACACATGCACAGACACACATATATGAAGTCACATTTGTGCACACACTCAAACACTCACGCACACAAATTTGAGTGGTTAATTGTTCAATGCCTGCCTCTGCACTCTGCATAAACCCCTTGAAGACAGGACCCTATCTCTCTCATTCGTCGTGTCCCCAGAACCTGTCACAGTGCAGAGTAGGAGTTGGTGCCCTCATTTTTCCAATGGGAATAACGAGTCCAGCTCAACCAGCTCTCTCTATAAGGGGGATTTGGAGAGCTTACAAAAAGACCCGTTTCTCCTCTTCCCCTTCTCCCTCTTCACATCCCACTCTACCTTCCTAAGCTAATTAAATGATACCATGGAACATATTTCATTTACATTTGGCTCAAAGGGCCAGGGAGTGCCAGTGTGTGCTCATTAGACAGCTCTGCGTAGAGGGATGTAATGAGCCGGTTTTATTATAGTCGTCATCTCAGCCCATCCTGTGAGACGATCTTGTAGTCACTGGGGAGAAAGAGAACCACAAACCTGAGAGCCTGGGTTTCAGGGCTGAGGAGTGGGAGGAGGACCCAACTTGGGGAAAGCCTTAGGCTGCCCTGGGCCCTGGGCTCTGGCTGGGGCAGGAGGGAGGAGGAGGTGAGCCTGGGCCCAGGTGGCCCCTGTTACTGTCTCCCTAAATGTAAGTCTCAGAACTCCACACTGGCTTTGACTAGAGCCACAGCTGAGGGTCCCAACCTAGGGGCCCAGAACTCCTGGGGGTGCTAACCTCAGGGGTCCCCAGATTTAATTGTGTATCATATGCTGTTTGCAGCTGGAAGAATTGACCTGGTACATAGCAAAGCACCACTTTATGATCTGCATGTACTACAGAAACAGAAACAACACTGAGAAGCATTTCTGCATCCCTGGTGGCATTTGTCCATTGGGTATTTCCTCTGTCGTTGGGATCTAATAGCAGCGATTAGAGCAATGATATAATAATAGCAGCCATCATTCCTTGAGTATCTACTGTGTGCTGGGGACCTGGGCTTAGCGATTTACCTGGATTATTTCATTCAATCCTCAAACCACCCCTCAAGGGTAGGTATTATGTTATCATCCCTACTTTATGGATGAGGAAATTGTGGCTCAGAGAATTAAGTGACGTGTTCAGAGACATGCAGCTGGATTGTGGTGAACTGGGGATTTGATCTTAGGTCTGCCCAACACCACAGTCCTCTCCACTGCTCTCTGCTACCTCCAGTTTACAAGGACAGTTCATAGCATGGGGTTCCAACACTTTTAGTAATGTTAAATTGAAAAAATCTGGCCTCGCACTCCAAATGTTCTGAGTTTAATTAAGGGCTTTCTGTGTGCCCAGCTCTGTTCCAGAACTTTACAAATATTACCTCACTTAATCCACACAAAGACTCCGTGAGGGAGGTAGTATTTATTACCCCCATTTTACAGATGAGGAAACCAAGGCACAGAAATCTTTGGTTAATTCCTCAAGTCACAGAGCTGGTGTTGAATTGATTGGGCTGGAATTGGGTCTGGCGGCTGGGTGCACAAGTCCACACCTTACCCAACTCTACCCTCATGGAGCTGGGCTATGGTTCCACAAATCAGTTTCCTACTGCAAAAAATTACCAAAAACTTAGTGGCTTCAACATTACAAACTGGCAGTGCACAGTGGCTCACACCCATAATCCTAGCACTTTGTGGGGTTCAGGTGGGAGGATTTCTTGAGGCCCGGAGTTCAAGACCAGCCTCGGCAACATAGTGAAACTCCTGTCTCTACAAAAAAATTTAAAACAATTAGCCGGTGTGGTGGCATGTGCTCGTAGTCCCAGCTACTCAGGAAGCTAAGGTGGGAGGATCCCTTGAGCCCAGGAGTTCAAGGCTTCAGTGACCTGTGATTGTGCCATTGCACTCCAGCCGGGTGACAGAGTGAGATCTTGTCTTAAAAATAATAATAGGCTGGGGACAGTGGCTCATACCTGTAATCTCAGAACTTTGAGAGGCCAAGGCGGGCAGATCACTTGAGGTCAGGAGTTCAAGACCAGCTTGGCCAACATGGCGAAATTCCGTCTCTACGAAAAATACAAAAATTAGCTGGGCATGGTGGTGCTACCCTGGAGGCTGAGGCATGAGAATCACTTGAACCTGGGAGACGGAGGTTGCAGTGAGCCAAGATCGCACCACTGCACTCCAGCCTGGGCAACAGAGTGAGACTCCGTCTCGATAATAATAATGATGATAATGATAATCAAAGTGTCTGCAAGGTTGTGTCCCTTCTGGAGGCCTCCTGGGGAGAACACACTTCCTCGCCTGCTCCAGCTCCTAGAGGCCACCTGGATTCTTAGGCTTGTGGTCCCTTCCTCCACCTCAAAGCCAGCCAGCATCGGCAGCTCAAGTCCTTCTCACACCACATCACTCCAACCTCCTCCTCTGCCTTCTTCCACTTTAAGGACCCTCGTGATTACATGGGGCCCACCTGGATAATCCAAGGTAATTCCTCTATTTTTAAGATCTGCTAAATAGCAACCTTAATTCCATGTGCAGCTTTATTTTCATTTGCCATGTAATGTAAAGTAACATTCCAGGAATTAGGAAGTGGACCTCTTTAGGTGCCACTATTCTGCCCACCTTAATTGAATAACAACTATTTTGGGGGAGCACTTGCTCCATTTCAGGCACCACTTGCAGAGGCTTTACTCATATCACTCATTTAACCCCACAAAAAACAAATGAGGGAGTGTTGACCACTCCCACTTTACAGATAGGAAGACTGAGGCTCAGGAGACAGAGGGGCTGCCAGGATTCTCCCAGGGCCAGCCCAGGTCTGGTGTTCCTCTGGGGGCTGACAGTTCTGACTCCAGAGCCCACTCTCCTCCCTGCAATGTGTTTGAGAATGGAGTACGGCTTTAATTCATTTCTGATCAGATTTGAGATCTCACCTACATCAGACCTGGGGATGCCAGAGATACCTTCAGGAGAGAGTGGAGCAGGCTGGGTCATCCCTGGGCACAGTCATAATACCTCTTGCTCACTCCCACCATGGTGGTCAGCGCCAGCCCCCACCCAGTCATCTGTGCTAACGAGGCCAGCACCTCTGCCAGTCCCGCCTCAATTTATTAGAAATCAGGCACATCGCAGCCTTCTGCTGACCCCTTAGATCGCAGCAGAGCTTTGGGCCCCAGAGACCCCTTACTCTGCCAAGGGGCTTTTCCAACTGCTGGAATTGTTAACCCATTGTTAGTGGATTTATTAACCCATTAGCAGGGAAGCGGCTGCCTTCTAACACCCCCTGGATGTATGAACTACCTGTGCTGATGTCCTGGCACACGATGGCCAGGCCAGCCCTGGCGGTGGAGCCTTTGTTTCTCTTTCCTGACCCACATTGAAAGTGGAATCTTTGAGACCAACAGCGTCAGCTCTCCCTGAGGGCAGAGAGACATGTGCAGGGAGGGGACTTGGAGGAAAGCTAGGGGGACACAGAAAAGGTGGTCTGGGCAGGGAAAGGGAGACCTCAAATGGAATAGAGGGGAGAACTCAACTCTCCTGAGCCCTGCTATGTGCCAGAAATTTATATACATTCCTCGTCCAAGCCTCATCACCTCGGTAGAAAGCTGTCACTCATCCTATTATGGGACTTTGCCAAGTGAGCAGATGAGGAAGTGGAGGCCTGGAGAGGTCAAGTGACCTGCCCAAGGTCACACACCGTGGCTATCACAAAGCAGGGATTCAAATCCAGGCCCCTGATGAGCCCTAAGTCCATCTTCTTCCTCCCAACCACCCTGTCTAGACACTTTTCACTTCATGGGAGTCCTCATGGCTCCTTCCACTTTGGCTGACCTCACCCCAAAACTCCCACAAAGCCACCAGGCAGTTCCCTGGTAAAGAGAAGCCTCAAGAAGTCCCTGCCTTCAAGGGGGAGGGCCTGGAAGATCCCTCCTGAGAAGCAAACGTTTTCCAGCAGAGCAAATCACTGAGACCTCTTAGTAATCGCAGGTGCTGACGGCTGCCCTCCTTCCCCTGGAGGTTTGTAAATCAAACCTTACACCTGGATTCACATAACTCTGTCAGGGGATAAGTAAGGCAGGAAGCAGGGGTGACACGCAGGGAGAGGAGCAGCTGCCCAAGCTGGGCCCTGGGGGGCTTCAGGGATGAAGGTGAGGGCACAGTGTGGCTGCTGAGGGACCACTGCTTCCACTTGCTGCCCCAGGGGATTGAGCCAGGGGCTTCCTGGGGGTCCCTGCCAGCACCAATATCTGCCAGTCCCAATTGACCAGCCCAATCAATTTCACCCTGGCCCAGTGCCTAGGGACAGTTGGGGCAAAGGGTCTGGGCTCAGGGGTGGAGCTGGAGAAGAGGCTTGGAGTCTTCAGCAGCTCTGAGCTAAGCCCTGGGTAGAGCATTTGGTGGGGCAGAGGGAGCTGACAGTAGCAGAGGACAGGACAAGATGCGGGTGCCCAGCATGGGCCCTGGGCTCAGCACCCTGGGCTAGGAGTCCAGGCCTGGTCAGTTCTGGGTCTGCTGTGGACTTGCTGTGTGACGTTGGGCAAGTCACATGGCCTCTCTGGGCCTCAGCTGCCTCATCTGCAAAGTGAGGCACTCTTTTGCAGGGACATCAAAGAGGCAAGACCTGGTTGGGAAGAGCAGCCAGGAACACAGGGGCAGAACCTGGCCCTGCTTCACCTTCCTCCTCTGCCCCCATCCTCCTGGTGACTGGCCAGATCCTGGTGTCCCCACCCATGAAAGCCCAGTTGATTGGCAGAGGTGAGGCCTTTGTGCAAATGAAGCTGCTTCCTTCCCTCCTCCTCTTTCTCCCCAAGGCCACCATCACCAGGGCTTCCCACAGGCTGACTGGAGTTTCCCGGGTCGGGGCTGAGCCTTGTAAAACATTTGACTTCTCATCTGCACGCACAGCAGCTCAGCTGTTTCCCCAGGGATCCATGCTGTCCCCCAGCCCTGTTTTGGTCCTCGTGCCCCCTGGAAGAGCAGCCCTCGGCTTCCTCTTTCTGGCCAGTTATGTGACTTTGGGTGGGTCCCTTCACCTCTGAGCCTCAGTCTCCTCCCGTGTTAAATGGGAATAAAAGCGCCTACCTCATGGATGTGTCCTGTTTACTTACACATTCTTGTAATCCTCCAAGAAATATTGAATATTTCCTGCGCATCTCCTGTGTGCCAGGCCCTGGTCTGTGTGTGAGGACGGTTATGGAGGTGGGCAGTGGAGACGGGGCCCTGCCCTGGTGGGGCTCCCTCGGGGTGAGTGGCAGGTGCCTGTAGCAGGGAGCTGGCTGGGAAGTTGTTTGTCAGTGGCCAAGAGCCACACCGGTGCAGATTGCGTGGGTGACACACCCAAGGTCACACGGTGGGTCAGTGGCAGAACCGAGGCTAGGCTGGCCCTGGAGCAAACACTGGCCACAGCCTGGGAGGGGACTTACCGTGTGGATTCCTAGACCCACAGCCCAGCGAGGTCACCCCCTCCCATAGGGACATCAGGTACCGACACCCAGCACCAGCTCACGGGTGAGGCTGAGCCCACCTGGTTCCTCTTGTCTTCTCGGGCCCAGCGAAGAGCTCTTGGGCCGTATGAGTGAGGATCACCTGATCACATACCTTCCCTTAACAGATAGCCCTCAGCGTCCTCTTCTGAGTTCACTGTCCTCCCCGTTCAGTCCACTCGGGGAGGTAAGGAGACACACCTCGTAATCAGAATGCTGCCTCCGCTCTGTCCCCTCAAGGAGGTCTGAAGAGCTGAGGTCCAGTGAGAAGCTCATCCACCATCTTCAGGGAGGCCTCAGGTCGGGGGGACAGTCCTGATTTTGGGAGCCCCCAGTCTGGAGAAGACACACGCCTGCTCTCAGGAGCCTCTAGGGGGTGAAGTCAGAGACCTGCCCAAGGAGGCCCCTCTGACTAGGGCGGGCAGGCAGCCCCGCCAGTAGAGTCCAGTCTGCTGGGGAGACCTAGACCTCATCAGGACCAGGAGACGTCGGGGGAGGCCAGACACTGCCGGGGAGACCCCAGTCCCTGCAGACTCAGAGACCTGAGCTCACATTGTCCAGACAGACTCAAGGTGGCCCCTCTCCCGCGTGGCCAGCCCCCTCCCTGAGGCAGAGGGGCAGCTTGGGGAGGTGGGGCTCCCAGATGGTGGAGCCTGGGGCTGAACTGCCAAGAGCATCCATCTCCATGGAGGCCCAGACCCCGTCAGTGTCCTTCTTGGCCTGGTGGTGGAAGGAGGGAGCCCGGATCCCAGCCTCGCGGTGCCCACAGCCTCCCGTGGTGCCATGGACGGGTCCCTGCCTACTCTGAGCCCATCTCCTTGACTGTGGCTCTGATGCTGCCTCCACACTGGGATCTCTCTGCTCTCTTCACCTCATACCTCCTTCCCCCCACCTCACCCCATCGCCCCCGTTCTTGATCCTGCAATTGTAGAAACAGAAAGTTGGCTGATTTCTTGGGCCCGCAAATTGCCCAACAGGGAGACTGGGTGGGCGGCCCCCGCTTCCACTCCATCGCCCACCCTGATGCATCGTCTGACACTTTCAATTTATTTTTCAATTCCTCTACCATCAGAAATGACGATTAGATTTCCAGCATAAATACCGCCTTACCAAACTGAATTAATCACGGCAAGGAGGGGCACACACAGGCTCCAGCAGCCTGGGCAGAACATCCCCAGCATTAACCCTTCCGTCCTCACCCAGGCCCCCACCAGCAGGACGGAGGCTCCAGGCCTCACAGAAGACGCCACTCAAAATATCACTGGGGTCACCTAATCCCATCCCCCTTACCCTTTGCAGCCTCCCTCCTGTGGGAGTTCCTAGGAAGTGTCTTGCCCAAAGCCATCCACTCCATCAGGGCAGAGTCAGAGACACTGGCCCCTCATCTCCAGCCCCATCAGGGAAGGAGGCTCCATCCACATCCAGGACAAGATGTGGGAGTATCCGGGGTTTGGCGTTGTCCAGGACACATACGGGACGGGACTCCTGCAGACCCGAGGGTGGGGGCACCCAGTGATCACAGGGCCTGAACTGAAAGGGGTCTTGGAGAGACCTGGAGGCAGGTTCCAACCCTTGCCCCACAAACAAGACCATCACCCCTCTTTGCTGAGACTGTTCATTGCTCAGTCCAACAACCACAGCTCAGGTTGACCTCCAGCCTCCCCACTTCTCCACCTCCCTGACTCCAACCACAGCTCAGGGTGACCTCCAGCCTCCCCACTTCTCCACCTCCCTGACTCCAACCACAGCTCAGGGTGACCTCCAGCCTCCCCAACTTCTCCACCTCCCTGACTCCAACCACAGCTCAGGGTGACCTCCAGCCTCCCCAGCTTCTCCACATCCCTGACTCCAACCACAGCTCAGGGTGACCTCCAGCCTCCCCACTTCTCCACCTCCCTGACTCCAACCACAGCTCAGGGTGACCTCCAGCCTCCCCAACTTCTCCACCTCCCTGACTCCAACCACAGCTCAGGGTGACCTCCAGCCTCCCCAACTTCTCCACCTCCCTGACTCCAACCACAGCTCAGGGTGACCTCCAGCCTCCCCACTTCTCCACCTCCCTGACTCCAACCACAGCTCAGGGTGACATCCAGCCTCCCCACTTCTCCACCTCCCTGACTCCAGCCACAGCTCAGGCTCCTTCCTATGAGACCCCCATGGCCTCTCACAGCCTCTCCACTTCTATGCCTGTTCTCACCCAATCCCCATCCCTCAGCAGTCATCACCTCAAAATGCAAACACTGTCCTATGGTTTCCTGGCTCAGAACCCATCGGGCCCTCCTCTGCTCTCAAATCAGGCCCCCACCCTTCAAGGCCATGAGGACTGGGCTGGCCTGGCCCCTACCGGTCAGTGCACTCCCCCATCCTGGCTGGGTTGTCTCCTCTTTCTCCTTCAAGTTTTTCTATTTAAAATTCCCCTCCTCAGAGAACCTTCTCTGGCCACCATCCCCCAATCTAAATTAGGTTCTCCCTCCTAAGGTTCTTTCTCAAATCCATTTCCTTTCCTTCTGAGCACTTAAGCGAGCGATAATTACACACTAACTTGTGTAATTTGTTTAATAGGATCTTTGGGACAGAGACTTTATCTGACTCGCTTGATGCTGCAGCTGCTAGAACCCAGACCGTAATGTAGTGGGAGCTCAGTGCAGACTTTTGAAGGAGTAAGTGAGTAAAAGAACAACAAGCCCCTCTTGGTGCCCACCAAGTGCCAAGCTGAGACTGGGCCCTGGAGCTGGAGTCAAGATGTGGACCTGGCCTTGGTGTGCTGGGCCCTAACAGATGAGTAGGAGTTTGCCGAGCACTGAAGGTGGGGTTGACATGACCAACTTCTGAGAGGCACTCTTTGCCTCTGGATGGCCCCTTCCCAGTCACCCCAAAAGGAAGCCCTTGCCCTTTCAAAAGTGGTGAATGTGGTGGTTCAGATCGGTAGGTGTTCCTATGAATAGGTGAGGGGCCAGGCTTCAGGTCAGTTGAACCTGGGTTTGAATCCTGATTTTGCTCTTGGTACTAGGGCAGGTCACTGAGACGCTCTGAGCCTCTCTGCTCCAGGATGAGGATCCCTTCATCCATGCTCACTCAAAGTCCTGCCCACCAGGATGGAGGCAGACAGGCTGCAATGCCCTCCCCTCTCAGTGGGGGAAAAATACCAGGTCAGGCAGCCAGCAGCCGAGAATGCCAGGCAGAGCAAAGGTGTCCTAAGGGATGGACAGAATAAGGGCTTGAGAGCCTAGCCAAGGGTGAGGCTAGGAGAGGCTTCCCGGAGGACGAGGCAAGTCAGAGCTCTTTGCCTCTTACTCCCATGACTGTGGGTGCCTTTCTCCTCCTCCTCTCATTCTCTCTCCTTTCCAGCTCCTGCTCTGCTCATTTCTTCACCTCAGTCTCTCTGCCCCGACAGGAGCCCTGAGGGACACAACCCCGTCCCGAGGAATGTATCTGCCCACTTCCAGCAGGTTCCTGGAGGCCCTCTAAATTCCCCTTCCCCCCAAAGTCATCTCCCAACACTGCTGCTCCCAGGGTGGGACGCCTGCTGCTGCACCTCCACACACGTGCACACACCCAGCCAGGTGCAGACAGCGTGGGCAGTGCAGAGGGGAGGGCTGGGGATTAAGGAGTTCGTGTTCTTGAGCAGCCTGGAAAGCAGCAGGGCTTCCACAGGAGCCGCCCCTGCCCTCACCCCTGCCCAGTAGGGTTAAGGGGCTGGCTTAGATGTCACCCCAAGCCAAGGCTGTCCTTCTCAGAGGCTCCTTCCCAGCTCCCCTGAGTGGGTCAGTCCCTTCCCCTCTCTGAGCCCCTCTTTCCTCTTCTGTAAAGCAGACTCAGTGATGTTGCTCAGAGGATTGAAGGACAAAGAAAAGCAACACAATGGACAGCAGGGATTTGCAAACAGCCGGGTGCTGTACCCAAGACAGGGTATTGCTGGTGATGTCTGATGGATGGGGAGTTGAAAGACTCAGCTGTCACTGGGCAGCTGGGTCTGGTTCCCCTGAGTCATTCGTAATTCACCAACCCAGTCTATAGAAGCTTATTAAGCACTTATTGTGTGCCATGCTCCATGCAAGGGCCAAAGACACCATGAGCAGAGCCAGACCCCACCCTCAGGTTCCCCCATGGGATGGGGTTAGCCAGATGACCTGAAGGCCTCTCCAGCCAGCTCAACCCCCTTAATCCAGAATTACTCCCTGTGCCAGGCTGACGGTGTGGCCAGAGAGGCCAGGGCCTGGGAGGGGGCCTGGCAGTGGGTGGTGGGAAGAGATGGAGTGGCTGTGTCAGGGGAAGGAGAGAGCAGGTTGTTCCTGTACAGGTTTCGCTCCTCGGATAGGGGGCTGCAATGACAGCTTCCAGGAAAGACCAGGCAAGTGCCTCACCCCATCCATTCTTGCTCACCCCTGCGGCCTCTTGGCCAATGGCTGCTGTGACCCTGTCCTCCTCTGGGAATCTGGTCTCGGGGAGGAGCCCTGGACCCTGACATTGACTAGAAACCTGACCCCATGTCTGAGCAGAGAGCTCCCATCTCTCTGTGAGCAGATGGGGAAACTGAGGACAGGGCGGAGAGCGGCTTGCCTGTGGCCACACAGTGACTGATGATGATTGGTTCCTGCTCATCTCGTGCTTCTGATGAAGAAACTTGAAATCATAATCCTAATAATAATCAGCACATGGGCATGTGCTGTGTGCCAGGCACGCACTGAGCACTTTACAGGTGAGATTTCATATCACCCTCACAACCCCCCT
Organism: Homo sapiens; assembly: GCF_000001405.40. Classification (NCBI taxonomy): domain Eukaryota; kingdom Metazoa; phylum Chordata; class Mammalia; order Primates; family Hominidae; genus Homo; species Homo sapiens. The sequence goes on from NT_187514.1 coordinate 26,454, forward strand.
ATGGGGTGGATGCCACGCTTGGCCCCATTTTACAGATGAGGAAACTGAGGTGCAGAGGGAGAAGGGGCTCATTCAAGGTTCCCCCCAAGGACAGTTCCTCTAACTCCCCTTAGAGCACTTTCCCCAGTGGGTATTTGTATGTTTTGGAATTTTTTAAATTAATATTTGTCCTTCCTGCTGGACACTGGGCTCCAGGTGGTCAGTGGAGGTGTCTGTTTCCCTCCCGATGCCCCGACGTAAACCCAGCCCCAGCACAGTGCTCACTGTGTAATAGGCACTCGATAAGGATTTATGAGAAAGGGTCAAATGAGGTTCAGAGAACTCTAAGGGAAACCAAGTCTCCCGCGGGAATTATGCCCACAACCACATCCTGACTCCCAGCCCCGGCAGCAAGGCAGCTCTGACTCTCGGCCCCTGCAGGCACTGCCTCCCCATCCTCATGTGTGCACATCTGCTAAGGGACTCACGGGCTGGCTCAGAAGGAGTTAACAGCCCAAGTCGCTGGGTTCTGCAAGGCCTGCCAGGCTGGCTGAGCCCCATAATCAAGTCCTGCACAGGGGATAAACAGGCTGCTGGAGGATGGGCAGGCAGGGGTGGGGACCATCTCAAGAACCCTCTCAGGAGGCCTGTGCACTCCGAGGAGAGTCAAATGGACTCCCTCCCCTCCCATGCGCTGGTTCAAAGCGCCGCCGCATTCTTCACCCGCCTTCATCTTTGAAGCAGCCCGGGGGCAGGCTGCTGTCTCCCACATGAGGAAGAGGCCCAGGGAGGGGAGGCGACAGGCTCAAGGCCACGCAGCTGTTTGGTGGTGGAGCTGGACCAAGCTCTGCCGGGGTGGTTGTCAGGACACCGGCCCCGATGTCTCAGCAAGGGTTCCAGCAGGACACAGAAGCCATACAGGGAAAGTTTAATACAAAGAATTATTAACTGCTACAGTGGGTTGGAGTAACAAGGGGTTCGTTAGTGAGGGTGGCGGGGGCACTATGGAATACAGAAACAGCCAATCTGAAGAGCAGCCACTGCTCAGGGGCTAGAGAGGGCCACCAAGGGGGAGGCCCCACGGCTGAAACCCAGGCCCTGTTGGAGAGGGCAGAGTTGTGGCTACTGAATGGACAGGAAGTTGCCATACTGCCACATGAGTGGAACTTGCTGGAATCTGCCCTCCAGAACTTGTCAGGAATCTACTCTCTAGGATGCCAGAGAAACACCATTTACGGGGAGGTGAATCACGGAAGGCACGTGGCTACAGAACCACCTGAGGGGGTTGCTGGGAGTTGCTGCTGGCCACTGGGAGTTGCTGACCACTGTGCACAGCAGGAGCTGGGCACTGGAGGGGCTGCCTACACTGCAGGAGCTAGGCATGAGAAAGGCCGTGCACTGCAGGAGTTGGACACTAGAGGAGCCACCCGGGCTGCAGGAGCTGGGCACAGGGAAAGACCCTGCACTGCAGGAGCTGTGCACTGGAGGAGCCGCCCACACTGCAGGAGCTGTGCACTGAAGGAGCCACCCGCACTGCGGGAGCTGGGCACTGGAGGAGCCACCCGCACTGCAGGAGCTGGGCACTGGAGGAGCCATCTGAACTGCAGGAGCTGGGCACTGAGGAAGGACTGGCATTGCAGGAGCTGGGAGCTGGTGGGGCTGCCTGTACTACAGGAGCTGGGCCTGGGAATGCTGTCTGCACAGGACCAAGGGAATGCTAGAGAGGCCGCATGTGCCAGAAGGCTGGGTGCTGGGGAAGCCACCTGTGCTACAGGACCTGGGACCTAAGGAAGCCAGTCCTGCGGCCATAGCCTGCCTAACCCAGGAAGAAACCAGAACTAGGAAGGAAAGCTCCCTCCTCTTGCAATGTCTCTCTGCTGCCCTCTACTGACCACATTTAATGTCATGCCAACCGGGAAATGAAAAATATTCAGAGTGGTACCCATTTCCACTTTCACAGATCAGGCAACGAGGCGTGAATTGGAGCTGAGAGGCAATAAATTTGTAACTGGCACGGTCCACACCTGCTCACCTTTCATAGACACACTCTACACACATTTGGATTCCCATATAACAGCAACAGAACTCTATCATTTCCATCTCATAAGAGACAGCTATCTGTCTTACAAGGGAACAAGATCCTTCTCCAAAATGAGGAGGCACATGATCCCAAGACTCATTGCATCCACTGCTGGCTATAAATTACTCCTCAAATTCAGTCACAGTTCACTGACTATTCTGTTACTGAAGACTAAATTGTTAAGTTAACTTCCAACCACTTGTATATAGAATAAAAATGGGAAAAAGGAAAAAGAAGAAGAAAGTAGCTAGCATATGTAAGTGAACACAGACATAGAGTAAGCAAATTGAAAACATGCAAATTTTCCTACTTGGTCCTGAGGTCATCATTGATATGTATGGCTACCTTTCCCCACCCTTCCTTCCATATTCCCCCCGCCAGCTTCCCCGCCCCCAGTCTCAACCCAAAGCTCAGATGGAGATGTCAGTATTCTCCGCTTGGTGGAGTCACCCAAACCTCCATTACTGAAGGCTCTGCTATCCAGCCTTCATTTGGGCAGGGAGTAGGTTTCTGTGGTTTTCCATTAATCTTTACTATGGGACGTGGGAGCACTAAGAGGCACCTCAGAGAATCCCCTGATTTCAAGACGGGGTCTTCTTCCCGACACTGCAGCAGCATCCCAGTCTCCCACTGGTAATTGGGAGCAATCATTCCAGACAGCAGATTAACCTCTTTCTTCCCTGTTGGTTCAGTGGCACAGGCCCAAAATGGCCAGGTGGCAGTCTCGTTTTCTGATTCAGTGGAACCATTGCTGTGTCCCTGGGAGCTAAGCCCTCTAAGCCAGCAGAGAACACAGTTGCCACAATGTGACCAGGAACAAAGTCCTTGTGGGTGGGTTATTAGGTGTCATTGTGGTAGGAGCCACGCCACCTTCTACCCCTTGTCCCTGAGCCTGGGTGTTCTGACTATGCAGAGACAGCACCGTATCATGGCCTCTGGTTCAAAACACACTCTGTGTCTTGCAAGAAAGAACATTATCTTTTCAGGGTGTGGTCTCCCAATTGGCATCACAACTGAGACTTCAGGAAGCCATTCCACCTTTCAGTCAGGCCAGCCACTTCCAGATGTGTTGTAAGACCAGCTAACCCCACGGACTAGAGCCTGTGACCACGCCTCCTCTGCTGTGGCATGAGCTCCCGGATCAGAGGCAGTGCCATGAGGATGCCATGATGGCAGAAGACATTCTGGGAGTTCACGGAAAATGATGCCAGAGGAGGAAGCATGGGCAGGGAAGGCAAGTTCACACCCAGAACATGGAGGATGACACTCCATGCCCTCCATGATGAAAAGGTCTGATGTCCTCAACCTGCCCCAGATGGCAGGCAGGTCCTTGCAGGAAAGGGTGCCACACCAGGGCCTCAGTGTTGGTCTCTGCTGCTGGTGGACTAGGCACTGATCAATAGCATTAGCCAGATCGGCTTTGACAAGGGGCAGCCCATGCTGCTGAGCCTATGCCCAGCCTCCATCACTGCCACCACAGCCCCTTCGTCCATGGACCCATTGAGCAAACACTAGGGTGGCTGTGTGGAAAGTCATTTTGTCCATCTGATTATTAGGGTTCTCACCTGCAGTGGATGCCCTTTAGTGAGCATTCACTTGGAACACAAATATTGTCACCACTTGTGGCCATTCTGAGGTCCAGCTACACACCTCTTCCCCACACTTCCTCACCACCAGGCTCCAGCCCTGTTCCTTCCGAGTCCCCGATCACCAGCCAAACATTTGTCCATGCACATGAGTCCATGTAGACCCTATCCTCTGGCCTTCTCTCACTTTGGACTCAGTGGAAAACCAAATGTGCTATTCAAAATCTTGAGAGGATTTCCCTTCACCAGGGTCCTTCAAGGTCACCCCAGTGTGGGGCCATAGTGGGACAGCTGTCCACTTTAGGGTGATACCAGCCCACTGTGCAGACTCATATGTCAACCAGACTCAAGTTCCTTATTCCTCAGTCAGCACCTCAGGAGGAGAAGGAGGAACGCCCTCCTCCCAGTCCTGAGGAACACCCAGGAGCATCTGCTGGGGCGGGGAGATGCAGCAGGGGCTAGTTTTGAAAGACTCTGAACCACCTGCCCATGCCTCTTACTCATACTTTCCCAATCTCCTTGAACCTATCTCTTACCTCTTCTATTTGCTAGGTTGTGCTCACCTGACCTTATGGTTAGACAATACCAAGTTCAAGATGGGAAGCTCAGGTTGCATGGTCACCTGATGTACCATATTTAGATGTTCAGTCTCTACCAAAGCCCAGTAGCAAGCCAGGAGCCATTTCTCAAAAGGAACGCTGTTATCTGCAAAAGAGGGCGTAGACTGCTCCAAAATCTCCTATAAGTCTGAACTGGGCTTCCCCTATTGGTGCTGGCCAGGGGTTCTATACAGCACCCTGTTTGCCATAGATGCTTTGAGTATGGTGAAATCTGCTGGGTCATAAGCTCCAAGTGGTGGAGCAGCTTGTGCCGCAGTCTGAATGAACTTGCTGCAGAGCCTTCTCCTGATCTGGTTTCCACTCAAAGCTAACAGCCCCTCCCTGGGGCAGCAGGCCCCTGCGTTATCGTGGGACTGGTTTCCCACCCTCTACTTGGCATCTGTCTTACCAGGGAATCTGATGTGCTTGCTACATCCTGTTCCTGGGATCCAATCCACATGTGATTAATGTAGGAGACCAGTGTGCATTTTGTAAAATGTACAGACAAGCAAGTTCGCTGCAGACTATCACTGACACATCAGGGGACTCGCTCAGACTCAGACTGTGCGGCTCGGCCCCAGGCCCAGCTCCCGTCCTCCCAGGCCTGCACAGTGACTCAGGGTTACAGAAGATTCTCCAGGAGAGCAGACACCCCAGCGAAGTCTTAGAAAGGAGAAGTGCACACTTATCCCGGTTCCTGTATTTCAGGACTTTTCGTTAATTCATTCACCCATCTATCATCACAGGATGAGTAGCTACCGTGGCCCAGGCACTGGCTGAGGCCCTGGGACACCACAGTGGACAGAAGAGGCCCCATCCCTCCCCTCGGGGAGCCCACATGGTAATGGGGAGAGATGACAGACACATAAAGGACTGACCAGCTGTGGGGCATGTGGGTGGCGATGAGGTCAGGGACACAGGACAGGTGAAGGGGCAGCGCATGATGGGAGGGAGTGGGACAGTGACACGTGAGACGCAGTCAGGAGGAGCGCGCAGATGAGGACGTCTGAGCTGAGACCTGAAGTAGGGGAGCCAGGCTGTCCAGGGGCCGGGGTGGGTGTCATTACTCCCAGTGCCATCTTCCAGTCTCCCAAGCATCCCAGTCGGAGGATGAATTCTGTGGTCACCATGGATAACGGGGTCAAATGAGCTCATGGGCATAACATCTTAACTCAGGGCCTGGCATACAGTAGGTGCTCAGTATGTGAGAGCTGCTATTGTCATTACTATTTTATTATCCTTATTATTCCACATGATGATGATGATCCTGAATGCACACGTGTTCCCACTCACCTCCTGCTTCCAAGTCTCAGAAACTTCACCGTGGAGTGTGCAGGGTGAGCACCACCTCCACTAATGGAGCTGCCCCACCTGGGCTGTCGGGAGGGATGGAGCACCCTGAGCCCCCACTGGGGGTGGGGAGGGGGAAGGTGCCAGGCGGGGTGGTGTGGGCCAATCCCTCTCCTCCCACAATCCTTGCTGACTCACAGGCAGCTCTGGCTGGACTCGGCTGCTCCTGCTGACAGATCATTGTGTCAGGAGTCTGGGGAAGGTCTCATTAATTATGATAATTGATACCTTTGAAGATGCCGGCTGTGTGATGCCTGCTCTGGTGACACAGGATTCTGGTAATTCTGTTTGAACTGCATTTTCCAAGCAATATGGTTTACATTTTGGCCACTAGGAAAATGGTTTATCTTTGAGGATGCTGCCTGGGGTGGACTGGCAGGAGCCAGCCTCCTGGAGGGTCTTGATGATGCCAGAGCTGGGGGAGAGCCCTGTGGTTCCTGGGCTGACCTCAGGGCAGGGGGCATGGCTTCCACGGGATAGGGAGGGTGTTTGTCAACATCAGGAAGAACACAGACTCTGGAGGGGCCCCAGGGCAGCACCAGCCTGCACTGATTCAAGCCTGGCACCGCCCCCTGGAGGGGGGCTGGTACCACCCCTGATTTCTCAGACCAGCGGTCTGAAGTGCAGAGAGGGGCAATGATGTGCCCGGTCACAGCCCACCCCCTTCACCTGTCATCTGCCAGGACCTTGGCTCACTCTGCGTCCTCCAATTCCAGCCTCCACCGACTGGTTGCCCTGCTCTGCTCTACCTGCTGAGGGCCTGAGAGGGCCCCCAAATTGTGGCCAGCTGCGGCCAGCCCCCGATGGAGGAGAGCTTGTTCTCAGGCAGGTTCCCAGGACCCCCTCATTCCTGGGAACCAAAACCTCTGGAGAGGGCCAGGGAATCTGTATTTTACCACCTCCCTGGGTGAGTCTGACCTGCTCCAATGTCTGGGCACCACTGTTGGTTCCCTCCTTTCCCATCTCCTACAGACCGCCCCGGCCCAGGCCCTCCCGCAGACCCTCTCTGTCTGTGCTGAGCCAGGGCTGACTCTGCCTCCAATGCTCCTGCGATCCTCACAGCAATGCCACAGCAATGCCACAACTCTGAGCTGCTGCCACCAGTCAATGGGGAAGTCCAGCGAGGCTCCCAACGGGAAGGACACGTCCAAGCTCTGAGCTGGGCTCCTGCCCTGTCCCTCCTTGTATCTCCCCTGGACTCCCCTCCAGGGCCCCCTGAGTTCACAATGGGCACAGCCTCTGAGGGACCCTGGGTGGGGGGCCTGCTGAATCTCTCACACAGACTGTGCAGGAAGGACTGAGGTGCTGGCTTGCGAGCCCCCAACCTTGGATCTATGGTTTCCATGTTCTTCAGTGGCAGGAAGAAATCCAGAACACCCCGCCCCCCACCTCCCCCAGTGTTTATAACTCTGCTGGCTCCAGCATGGATTCACCGCCCCATCCACAGCCCCTCACTCCACTCACACTAGGCCTCGATCCAGCCACAGGACCCGCGTCCCTTACTAGATGAGGCCGGTCGGGGCCAGACAGATGGCTCTATTTTGCTTTACATTTGCCCGGATCTCACTGCAGGGCTCCAGATGATTCCGTGAGAGACAGAAAATTAACTGCCAATTTCTGCCTCATAACTTTCCATTCCCAGGAGACTGGGCTCTGATGGAAAGCTCTGGAATCCCTGGGTTCAAGAAACCTGAATAATAATCATGTTTATTGAAAGCTGACTGTGCCAGGCATACACTTCACCTGCATCACCTCATTTCACCCTCGAAGCAGTCACACGGGGTATGTTACTCTCTCCCCATGTTGTCAGTGAGGAAACTGAGGCAGGGAGAGGTTTGGCTCTTGGCCTGCAAGGCAGGTGGTGGGCTGTAGGCCCCCCCACCCTGCGGCACTGCCCTGGGGCACCTCACACTCTGTCAAGGCCCTGCAGCCACCTCGGGGCTCTTTGGCGGTGATCACGGCCGGTACTGCACCAAGAGCAAACCTAGAAGAGAAATCAGTCCAGCAGCCCATGCGGCCGTGTCTGCCACATGGGTCCTGGCTCTGGGAGGCTCAGGGGGGTCATCCCAGGTGGAGCCACCAAATCAGCCCCACGCATCCTGTTTTGAACCCTGTGACTTACGCTAAAGAGAGAGTTGTACTTGCTCTTTGCTCTGTAAATCCCAGAGTGGCCTTTGGCCAAAAGCAATACAATTCTGCCCTAGAAAAGTTAAAAGGACTTTGAAATTATGAGTCTCAAGCCCTGGCCTGATCCATGGATGAGGACGAGATGACTGAGGCAGCAGAAAGGAAAAGAAAGAGGAACACTTAACAGCAATTTCCCTTCCGGCTCACCTCCTCCAGGTTTTCATTAACCTCATAGTGCCCAGAGCCCTGGCCTGCAATGTGCAGAACAAGGAAGATGGGGGAGGCTGGGCAGGGCCCAGGGAAGGCGCCCAGTGTGGGGCACACACAGGGCTGCCTCGTCCTTGCTGATCCCTTGCTGCCTCCAGCCCTGGGCACTGCAGTCCAGAGTACGGGAGTGGAGGGTGGCTGCCAACCCTGCCAAAGTCAGGGATTCTGGGCGGTGCTTCTCAGCCTGCCAGGGTTCAGCAGCATTGAAGACTCAAAGCACGCTGGAATGTGTCCAAAGATTTGAAGGACACCAAATCTTCCCCACAACCACAAAGCCATGTGGTAACAATATCTTGTTGATGGTGGCATGCTTTGCCGCATCCTCGAAAGACACCAGTCCTCATTAGCATGTCACCTTCTGCTATGTCTCTTAATCTGCGACACTTCCCCCTGCCCTGACTATGGCCCTTCCCCATGTGTGATGTAAGCACATAAGGCAGCCTCGGAGCTTACCTTGCTCCAGTGTCACTCCCGGGTGGCTGACTATAAAGGAAGGACATTCAAAGATGGGGGCCAGTAGGGCCATGTTTGTGTAGCAGCCTCTGGCCTTGTTTACCCCCAACTGGTTGGCTGGAGGAGGCAGAAACGATGAGGGGTGTCATAGGGCCTGCCCACCACATGGCAGTGACAGGAGTGGGACAAGAAAGGCTTTGGGGAAGGGGCGTGTGCCCAGCCCCTACTGCCTGTGGCCCACTCAGTGACTTAGGCCCTGATGACCTGAGAGCAGCATCTCCTCCATCATGGGGTGGAGGTTGGCAGGGCAGTGGTAGGCAGAGGTGGGTCTGGACATTTTTGGAGGAGGTTGCTTTGTGCCTCTCCCATCTCCCTGGACTCTCTCCACCAAAGGACACACTGAGGGGCCTTATGTAGGCGCTGGTGGCTTTCCACTTGAGGGGGCCTTCCCTCAGCCTGCCAGCCAGCTCTGTGACCACCACTCCCCTGCGAGTCTTTAGGGATCTTTAAGCCAAAGGTGTTTGGATAAGCCCTTCACATCTGGAGAGATGTTGAATGACCACTATTCAAAGCTCAAGGAAGTTTTTGTGGGTCTCAGTTTCTGTATTTGCCCTGGTCTAGGTTTCACAGGTCCTGGCAGAAAGGCTTCAGAGTTTATGGATGGAGTGAGTCGTAGCCAATTTCTGGTTTAAATGATGAAACCTCTTCCCTCTTTTCATCTTGTGCTGTCTTCGGTTGGTTTTGAGAGAAGCAAGTTGTGTTTAAATGACTCTCCATCCTTTTCACCTGGACATCAAGGGCCTTCTCATCCATCACCTCTTTCAATCTTAACAACAACCCAGGGAAGTAGGCAAGGCTGGGTCCCCTGGGAGCAGAACAAAGAATTGGAGAACCAGCACCTGAAAGTAGAACCAGACTGCATGGCCATCCACCGTAGGGAAGAGCAAGCAGTGATCAGATGTACCCTGCCCCTGATGTGGGACCCAGCATACTGTCAAACACTGGGGTTTCGGCTTGCCAGACTTCAGCTCAAATAGCATCTGTGTGACACTCCTGTCCTACTCTGCACTCCTGTGGCAGACATCACCAATCATTCACAGCACTCCTTCTTCCTGACCCTGAATTCAGTTCCAAATTCCTTGTCAAGACAATTTGTCAATCAAGAAGACACAACCAACCAACCAACATTAGCTTGTGAAATGGAACCTGCTTGCCAGACCAGCATTAGAGTCTCTCCAGCTGCTCCCAATGTTGCTGGTGAAGTCAGGCAGGCCTGGGTTTCAGCTTCAGCTCTGTGAATGGCTAACAAGGTGGACTTGGGCTAGCATTTGTGTCACTCTCAGCCTCAGCTTTCCCATCTGTAAAATGGAGATGATTGGTATCAAGTGGGGCTGGTAAGGGGATTCCAAGAGAAAGCCCCATCACGTGACACATAGCAGATGTTCAATGACAGGTTTGTACTGGAGAAAAGGCTCTTCTTTTGCTACCGCAGATGTTTCCTGATCACCTGATGACCAGGATTTATTGGCATGTTGGTAAAGCCACTGTGTCCGAGTCCCAGGTCGCCCAAGAGCCAGCTGTGTCCTCTGGGGCAAATCACCTCTTCCCTGAGGGTGGGAGGAAGTGGTCAAGGTAGAGCAATGTTGTTCAATCAGGAAAGTGGGATTTTTCTCAATTTCAAACATTCCTTTCAGTGCAGACATTTAACAAATTAATTTTTCAAAGACAGTCAGGCATCAACTCACAACACCTGACGCCTCCTACCCCCTTCCCACTCTTCCCAGTTTCCTAAGCAAACCCTAGAAGGTCACTGTTCCCATGGAGTTAATGGGCCTGGACCCACCTTCTAATTTAATGCAAGTCCCAGCCCGCCTTACTGTGCAGGAGTTTGAACTCTCAGTTCGTCTGAACTCTCTCGGCGACACAATCTGTCCTCGTTTCCAGTAGAGTTTCTAATCCCTGCAACTTCCATGGTGCTAGTAATTATGGAAAAAAGTCTGAAGCACAGAGATTCTGCATCTTGTCTGTGAGATTACACACTTTAATGGAGTTTATTAAATTTATTTTGCAATTACTGAGGAGATGAAATTCACTGTGCAGTTCCAGAGGGCAAAACAAGGACTGGTTGGTGGAATCCACCAGGAGACAGCTTGGAATTCAAAGGGAAGAAGAACTTTCTGATGGTCAGAGCCACTCAGCATGGAGTGAGCCATCCCAGGGCAGGGTGAGGCCAGCAGGGCTCAGGCCTGAGGTCACTGTTGGGGGAGCCAGTGAAATATAAGAGCTTTGAGTCAAGCTTGGGTCCATTTTCTGACTCCCCACTTCCAGGGGGATCGGGCAACTGAGTTCACTTTTGTAAGCCTCTAGGCTCCCTGGGTAAGATGGTAACAGCTGTGCTGGCACAGAGCGATGCTCCATGAGGGGTTATGCTGTTATTTCATTACTCCGAGGTAGGCGGAAACTTCCTTCACTCATAGTTTCCCTGGGGAGAGATTTCCCCCAGACACCACTGCCCTCCACCTCCCACCAAAAGGTCGTGAGTTTGAGGAAGAGCAGGACAAGCTCACTGCTCATTCTCTGGAGCCCAGCTGCCCAGAGAGCTCACGTCTGCTCTGCTCTTCCACCGCCAGAGGTTTTGTAGCAACAGCCCCAATATCCTGACCACAGGGGAGCCTGGAGGGAGGTCAACACACATCTGATGGTGAGTTCCTCCCTGTCTGGTCCTAGGGTCTGCAGGGGAGGTCCACATGCCCTCAAGGGTGAGCCCCTTTCTCCAACATCAGCTCTATCTCCATTGGCCACATCCTACATCCTCTGGGTTTGTCTAGAATAAGGGCCCCCAGTGCTTTTCCAGGCCTAAAGCCCCAGCATGCATTATTGTCACAGGGGCTGTGAGCTTGGGACACCCACTTATGACACAGCCAACATCAGGTCTCTATTCCTAGAACATCCTCTCCACTAAAGCAAGAACCACAAGATGAATCTTCCTCACTGTTTCTCCAGCCACCACAAAGTGCCAGGCACACTCATAGATGTTCAATAAATACTGCTGAGCATGTTAATTTTACCACCATCACAGGGATATGAGTAAAGGCTCTGGGAGCACAGACTAGGGGCACATAACTCATGTGGCAGGGAGAGGGAGCACTGGGGAGGACTTCCTGGGACAGTGACTCCTGAGCTGAAGCTTCAAGGGGAAGCAGAGAGAAACTGGTCAAGGCAGAGGTGACAGTGAGACCAAGTGTGTCAGGAACTAGAGGGCATCTCAGAGTCAAGTGTAATACAGGAAATAACCAGAGATGAGGTTGAAGAGTCAGCAGGGGCCACATGGTAAAGAACCTTGAAAGCCAAACCACAGTTTGGCACATCCTTGGGGCCACTAGAACATCATTTCCCTCCTAACATTCATGGAATGTCTACTATGCACCAGGCACTGTCAAAGGCGCTTACCTGCATTAACTCATTCATACCTAACAAGAAGCCTGGGAGGTAGAAGTCAGTATCCCCTCCACTAGCAGATGTAGAAACTGAGGCAGAGGGAGATGAAGTAAATCACTAATGTCCATGCAGCCTACCCAGTGGTAGAACTGTATTTATGTGTGAACCCAGGTGTGCACATTCTGGAACCCAAGCTGTTGGCCACTATGCTGTTCTTCAGCAGGAGTAATACAAGAGTCAGGCTTTATTTCAGAAATGGTGCTCTGGGGGCCGGTGTGGGAACCTGATTTGAGGTCAAAAGAGTTGAGCTCAGCAAGACATTCAGAAGTGAGTGATTATCATCCAAAGAAGGGTGACAAGTGGATCAGCCCTAACTGCAGAACATCATTGTGACAGCCTCTCTTACACCACAGCAATGAGATTCCCAACATTTCAATGAGTCAAAACCTCAGGTCAAGCCTCTTAGTCCCATGGGTTCAAGATTCTCTTGGTTGTTCATACAGCAAAATGACCAGGATACCATTGCAAATCACCTGTCATACCAATACCTTCACAATTTAAATGAGCAAAGACAATCAACTGATGGCAAACTCCGAGGTGAGTCAGATCCTGAAATTATCTGACAATAATTTTACAGCAGCCACCATAAAATGCTTCCACAATCAATTACACGTTGTCCTGAAATGAATGGAAAAACAGGAGGTCTCAGCAAAGAAATAAAAGTTACAAAAATAATCCAGAAGGAAATTATAGAACTGAAAAATGCAGTTACAGAAATTTTACAAACTTGCTGGATAGTAGAGTGGAGATGATAGAATAGAATTAGTGAACTTGAGGATAAAGCAATAGAATTTTCCCAACCTGAACAACAAAGAGAATATAGAAGGAAGAGCCTCAGGAACCTATGGGACAATAAGAAAAGATCCAACATTCATACAATCAGAAGTCAAGAAAAGGAGAAAGAGAATAAAGGGCTGAAACTATTAGAAGACATATGACTGACAATTTTTCAAACCAGGTGAAAGAAACAAATCTATAGATCCAAGAAACTAATCAAATACCACAGAAGATAAACAGAAAAAAATCATGCCAAGACACATGATAGTAAAACTTTAAAACTCAGGACAAAGAAAAAAGTCTTGGAAGCAGCCAAAGAGAAACCACAAATTACCAAATTACCTAAAAGGGAACACCTATTCAAATAACAGGAGGTTTCTCATTTGAAAACTATAGAAGCCAGAAAGAAGTGGCACAATATTTTTCAAGTGCTGAAAAAAATCAATCACAAATTCTGTATCTGATGAAACCATCCTTAGGAAATGGGAAGGGAATAAAAACATTCTCAAACAAAGGGAAATTTTAAAGTTTGCCACTAGCAGTTTTATATTTAAAAATTGGCTATGAGGAAGTTCTTCAAACAGAAAGGAAATAGTAAAAGAAGAAGTCTTGGAGCATTATTAAGGAAGAAGAAACAACAGAAAAAGCAGAAATATGGGTACATAAATAGACTATTATTTTTGTCTATTTATGTAGACAAAATATGACATATTTTATTATTGAAAGAAAAATTATGACACCATCTGATACCCAAGACAATATTTGAGAGTGGAGAAGGTAAAGAATCTTTGGTTAAGAATCTAAATACAAGGAAGGCAGGTATCCATACTTCACTTGAAGAGGTAAAATGTTGATACCAGTAGAAAACTATAAGTCTCATAAGTATATATTGTCACAACCAGAACAACCACTACAAAAACTCTACCAATAGATATATTTAAAAATATTATAAATAAATCAATATAGAATCCTAACAAATGTTCATGCAATCTTCGGAAAGACAATAAAGTAAAAACAGAGGAATGAAAACTAAATATATAGCAGGAAGCAAATAATAAAGGGGTAAATTTAAGTATTAACATCAAAAATTACATTAAATGTTAAAGGTATAAATACAGCAATCAAAAGACAGAGATTGGAAGAGTGGATAAAAAAACACAACCAAATTATAGACTGCTTATAATAAACCCACCTCAAATTCAATGACATAGACAGTTTGAAAGATATACTATGTAAAAATTATCTTTTTAAAAAAACCTGATAAAGTAGACTTCAGCACAAAGACTATTACTAGAGACAAAACAGAACACTACACAATGATAAAAGGACCAGTCCACCAGGAAGATATAAAATCCCCTCAATATGTGCACACCAAACAACAGAGTTTTAAAATCCATAAAACAAAATTGATAAAGCTGACAGAACAGACAAATCCACAATTGTAGCTGGACACTTCAAACCATACATCTCTCAGCAACTGAAAGAACTACTAGACAGAAAATTAGCAAAGATATAGAAGATCTGAACAACAAAATCAACCAGCAAAATCTAATTGACACATATGGGAGAAAAATGTGGTTTTTTTATCCACTCTTCCAATCTCTGCCAACAACACCAGAATACATACTCTTTCAAGCAACCACAGACCATTCATTAAGATAAATTATATACTGGGCTATGAGACAAACATCAAAAAATATAAATGAATTGAAATTATACAGGATATTCTCTGATTATAACAGAACCAAAGTAGAAATCAATAATGGAAAGACAACTGGAAGACCCCTAAACATGTAGAAATTAAACAACACATCTCTTTAAAAATCCATGGGTCAAAAAGAAGGTCTTAAGGGAATGTTTAAAAAATACATAAAACTGAATGGAAACAAAAATACATCGTATCAAAAATGTATACGATGCAGCCAAAATAGTGCTGAAAGAAAAAGAATTATAGTATTAAATGCCTATGTTAGAAACAAGGAAAGATCTCAGATCAATAATCTAAGTTCTTACCTCAAGACACTAGAAAAAGAAGAGTAAAATAAAGCCAATGCAAGCAAAATTAAGGAAATAATGAAAAGAGCAAAAAATCAATGAAATTGAAAATAGGAAAACAATAAGTAAAATCAATGAAACAAAAAAAAACTGGCTCTTTAAAAAAAATGATAAGATTGATAAACCTTCAGCAAATAAGAAGATACAAGAAAAAAAAAACAGGAGACACAAATCACTAATATTGGGGATGAAATAGGGAATATCACTATAGACCATGCAGCTATTAAAAGGATAATAAGAGATTGTATGAACAACCTTATGCTCATAAAATAGAAGAATTGGACCAAATTCTCAAAAACCATAAACTACTAAAGGTAAGCCAAGATAAAATGGGTAGTCTGAATAACCCTATAGCCATCAAACAAATTAAATTCATAATGTTTAAAATTTCTGAAAAAGAAATTTTTCAGCCTAAGTGGTTTCACTGGAGACTTCTACCAAATTTTTGAAGAGGAATAAACACCAATATTATACAATTTCTTCAGGAAAATAAATAACATCTATACAAAACCACAGGTGACAAATTATTTAGTGGTCAAATGCTGTATGATTAGCAACAAAAAATACAAAAGATTAGGAAAAATGCAAGGATATGCCTGCTCTCATTTATCTTATTTGACATTGTACTAGAATTTATAGCCACTGCATTAAGGTAAGAAAAACAGATAAAAGGTATATAGTTTGTAAAAGAAGAAATAAAACTATCTCTATTTGCAGATGACACAGTTATCTACATAGAAAATCTCAAAGAATCTAGAAAATATCTCCCAGAGCTAGTAAGTGTGTTCAGTAAGTTCTCAGGTTGCGAAGTTAACACACAAAAATTAAGCGTATTTCTCCAAGCTAACAAAATATGCAGAAATCAAATTTTAAAACACAATACCATTTACAGTCACACTAAAGAAAATAATATACTTAGCTATACACTTAACGAAATACATATGGAATCTATATACTGAAAAATATAAAATATTTACAAGAGAAATTTTAAAAGACCGTGTTCATGGTTTTGAGTATTCAACTTAGTAAAGATGTCAGTTCTTACCAAATTGATATACTGGTTTAATGCAATTTGTATCAAAATCCCAGCAGACCTTTTAGTAAACATAGGCGAATTATTCATCAACTTACATGGAAAAATACATGTTCTAGAAAGTTAAATCAATTTTGACAAAGAATATGGAAGGAATCACTCTAGCTGGCATTAAGGCTTACTATTCAACGACATTAATCAAGACACCGTGGTACTAAAAGAGGGATACATACATCCATAGAAAACGAAGAAATAGACCCACACAAACATGTTCAATTGATTTTTGACAAAGGTACAAAGGCCATTCTATGGGGGAAGTTAATCTTATTCACCAAATGGTGCTAGAGCAATTACACATCCATAAGCAAAAGAGGAATCTCAGCACACTTTCTATATAACTAAAAATGAATAACATACATAAATGATAAATGTAAAGCACAAAACCATAAAACTTTTTAGAAGAAAATGTAGGAAAAATCTTCATGACCTAGGGCAAAGAGTCCTTTTTGTTTGTTTTTGTTTCTGAGATGGAGTCTCACTCTCTCTCCCAGGCTGGAGTGCAGTGGTTCGATCTCAGCTCACAGAAACCTTTGCCTCCCAGGTTCAAGTGGTTCCCCTGCCTCAGCCTCCAGAGTAGCTGGAATTACAGGCACCTGCCACCACACCTGGCTAATTTTTGTATATTTAGTAGAGACGGGGTTTCACCATGTTGGCCAGGCTGGTCTCAAACTCCTGACCTCAAGTGAGCCACTCGCCTCAGCCTCCCAAAGTGCTGGGATTACAGGCATGAGCCACAGCACCCAGCTAGAATTCTTAAACACCAAAAGTGTGACCCATAGCAGAAAATAAATTGATAAAGTAGACCTCATTGGAATTTAAAACTGCTTTTGTGAAAGCCTATGTGAGGAGGATTCCTCTGACCATGTAAAAACAGACTTTGTCATGAGGAAGCAGACTTGAGAGACACAAAGTGTCTCCCAAGCAGGGACAGCAGGACTCTCCAGGAAAGGATTCATGGAACTTGATCCAAGCAAGAAGGAAGAGGAAGAATGAAACCTTCTCCCAAGCCACACCTGGACAAGGGTTTTCTTTCAGTTGCTTAACGGAGAAACATTGGAGATGTATGTAGAAACTTCATTATCTCATTCATTAATTAATTCATTCACTCATCTGTTCATGCATCATGTATTTATTGGATACCTCTATATGCCTCATACTTTCCTATGTGCTGGGACCAGAAATGGACAAGATAGACAAAGCCTGTTTGTTCCATATGGGATATGTGGTCCCTTTATTCCCCATTGCAGTGGAAGAGAAGAATGGAGTTGTCACATCTACTCGTAACTGCCTCAGGCCAGAAATAATTCATGTTACTTCTGCTCACAGTCCATTGACCATTACTAGTCACATGAGGACAACTTATCTGCAAAGAATGCTGGGAATTATAGGGACATTTGGTGTCTACTGTTTTGGGGCACAAGTTCCATTGAATATCATTCAAACTGAATCGCCCTTATGGGAAATTGTCTAATTGTCTACAATTTTCCTCTCACAGATTGACTTCATCTTTCTCAAAAAATTCTTCAAACAAGTTCATAAATCTATGAGTCAAGAAGCCACTGCAGGTAACACTACATACAGATATATGGATGGGGGAAGGACCACATGATACAGTCAAGATTTTCTCAGCAAGAGTCAAATCAGAAAAACAACTCCTTGGAGATTTTTGCCTCACATGGTTTAACTTTTCCTCTGGGTGACAGATAACTTGAACACCACCTTCTCCTGGATGTGACAGGAAGGGAAAGGAGAAACAAGATTGGGGTAAAGGCCAGAGTCTCCAAATAGAGCCTCATTAATGGGAAAGAGCGGGTGTTAGCTCTGAGTGAAGTGTTGGATGACAGTGACTGAGTGGCCAGGCTTGGAGCCTGCATTAAATGTGACAGCAAGCAAACCAGAAGACACGGCCAATCCATCACATCGCCTTACCTGAGGGGTGTTTACGTCTCTGGGTTACCAGGATCAACTTCCCAGGAGGCTTCAAGAGCCAGGAAATCAAAGGTCACAGAGTCATGGGCCTGGAAAAGACCCCAGAGCAGTTTCCATAATTTAACACTGGCGCGTGCTCCTGCAAAGCTCCCTTTGATTGCATTACTGCACTTCAGCCTGGGTGCAGTGAGACGGAGACCCTGTCTCAAAAGGAAAAAGAAAAATCCAAGTGGGGAGTAAAATGGGTTGTACTGAAAAACACAGGCTCTGGAATAGTTAAACCAATCTTGACAAGGAAAAAAATGGGAGGAATCACTCTATCTGATGTGAAGGCCTACTGCGCAGCTACATTAGTCAAGATACTGTGGTATTGGTGGGTACCCTCCAAAAAGATACGTTGAAGCTCTAATCCCTGGGATTTGTGAATGTGACCTTATTTGGAAATTGGGTCTTTGCAGATATAATCAAGTTTAGACAAGGTTACTAGTGTGGGCCCTAATCCAATAAGGCAGGTGTCCTTGTAACAAAAGGGAAATTTTGACAAAGGGACACACAGGGAGAATGCCGTGTGAAGAAGGAAGCAGAAAGAGGAATGATGCATCTGCAAAGCTGAGGAACGCCCAGGAGAGCCAGAAGCTGGAAGAGGCAAGAAAGGATCCTCCCCTGGAGGATTCGGAGGGAGCATGGCCCTACCAATGCCTTGGTTTTGGACTTCTGACCTCCAGAACTGTGAGACAATGCATTGCTTGGTTTTAAGCCACTCAGTTTGTGGTACGTTGCTACCTCAGCCCTTGGAAACTATTACAGGGGTTTTTGTCCCCAGTCGTTAGAAGGGTAAACTGAGCCCCAGATGGGAAATGTCTGCCCAAGTCTACGCAGCCGTAAGTGGAGGAGCGGGCTGAGTTACCAGGCCTCTGGCTTCCAGGTGGCCACCATCCCTCTCAGAGTGAATCAGTAGAACTGTGGGCTCCTCCAAGACCCCGGAGGAGAAATGATCCCTGCCAGAGCTTTCTTCACCGTGAGGAAGGGACCTGTTTTCCCCTTCCAGATGTAAAGAGGAATTTTAGGCCAGTTTTGAGGCTGACACCTCGTTGGCTCCTGAAGGCAGTTGGGCGAATTCAAGGCTGAGAGAGGTGGAGGCCCCTCCACGGTCCTCACCAGGACCATGCTCAGGGACCTCAGCTCTCCTGCCAAATGTGTCTCATGTTGGGCCCCTTCATCTTCCCCATATCCACTGCCCCATTTAGGCCATTATCCCCTGCCTTCTGGACAGGCGTCAGAGCCTCCGCACCGGCCACCCACCAACCCCTCCTTCAGCAGGCACTTGCCAAGCACCTACTGTGTACCAGGGCCCATGCCTGGTGCTGAGGCCAGGGTGGACAGCACAGAAGTTACTGCTGTGGATTTCACTTCATTTACTGTGAAATGAGACACAGCAAATGAACCCATGACACAAGACAACACATTCCAGGCAGAAGGTGAGGGGAACTCAGAGCTGGGATATCTGTAGTTGGAAAGTCCTGGGCATGGTCACGAAACACCCAGAAGCTTGGTCAGGCTGCAGCAGGATGAGGAGGGCGTAGGAGGTCCGAGAGATGGTGGACAGATCAGGTAAAGGCCTTGGAGGCCTCAGGAGGGCCCTTAGATTCCATGTGGGTGTGAGGGTGAGAAGAAAGCAAGGTGACCTGAGGGTTGAGGAGGAGTGAGGTGACCTGAGGATGGAGGGGGAGTGAGGTGACCCTGGGGTTGAGGGGGAGTGAGGTGACATGGGGATTGAAGGAGACTGAGGTGACCTGGGGATGGAGGGGTAGTGAGGTGACCTGGGGGTGGAGGGGCGTGAGGTGACCTGGGGATTGAAGGAGAGTGAAGTGACCTGGGGATTGAAGGAGAGTGAGGTGACCTAGGGGTGGAGGGGGAGTGAGGTGACCTGGGGGTGGAGGGGGAGTGAGGTGACCTGGGGTTGGAGGGGGCTGAGGTGACCTGGGGATTGAAGGAGAGTGAGGTGACCTGGGGGTGGAGGGGGAGTGAGGTGACCTGGGGGTTGGGGGTAGTGAGGTGGCCTGAGAATTGAGTGGAGAGTGAGTTAATCTGAGGGTGGTGGGAGAGTGAGGTGACCTGTAGCTTTGTCTTGGGAGTAAGGAGTCCTAAAGTTTGAGGTGTAAAGGACAGGACAGCTATTGGGACCACCTCTCAAGACCCCATTACAGGTTCTCACAGTTGCACCCAAGAGGTGTATTCGCTGTTCCTGACCACATTTTCTATCCTCCTGTCTTCAGAACGCCCTCCCTATGTGTCAGGGTTGGTGACTTTCTTCCTATGGGGACCTTCTTGGGTTGTCTTCCCTCTCCCACGCGCCACCTTTTGCAGTGGGCCCCACAGTCATTCTGAGCATCTCTGTGCATCGCAGCCACAGGTTGGAGTTTGGAATTCGAACTTTAACAGGTAAACTTTAACAGGTGCTCATGATAGAGCTCGCTTTTGTGCCTGGACATGAGGAGAAATCGGGTCTGCAGAGAGAGATGGGGGTGGGAGGGGGAAGTGGGAGAGTCAAGGAAAGAGAGAGGAATCCTGATGTGAGAGGACCCCAGTGCTGCTCACACCATAGCCTTCTCTGTTCTGGGCTCCACTTGCAGTCCTGCCTTTGGATTTGGTGAGGCCACCCGGGTCCGGAGTCCCACTCTGGTATAGGTTAGCTGGAGTGGATCTCTAAGGCCTGGCACAAAGGGAACTCCACTGACCGTGACTTCCCACCCCATCTTTCAGGTCCCATCGCAGCTGCTGCAGCCTCCTGGGGCCCACCTCGACCTTTCACCCATTGGGCCTCTCCAGCCACCTCTGAACTCAACACCTTGAACCTTTCCTACCATCCTGGTGTGAAATCATGGTTATTTGTCCACGTATCTCCTCATTCCCAGCAGATTGTGTCCTCCCGAGGGTAATGAATTCTGCTTGCTCATTTCTGCATCAAACCCCAGCCCCTTGCAGTACAGCAGGCCCTCAGTGAGGGTTCAGTGCACCCACAGTTAATCCTAATTAACTGAGCACTGGACCCTGCCAGGCATTTGCATTCCACTCCCTTGTTGTCTCTTGATCCTCTTC
This sequence comes from Homo sapiens, assembly GCF_000001405.40. Classification (NCBI taxonomy): domain Eukaryota; kingdom Metazoa; phylum Chordata; class Mammalia; order Primates; family Hominidae; genus Homo; species Homo sapiens. The sequence continues at coordinate 47,346 of NT_187514.1, forward strand.
AGCACTCTATTGTTGGAACACTCACTCTCAAGTCCAAGGCCCCAGGTTCAAATCTCAGGCCAGCCACTGACAAGCTTGAGAAAGGTATCAAACCTCTCTGGCCTCAGTTTCCTGATCCATAAAATGGAGGCAATAATACTGCCTACCTGATCACATTGTTGGAGGATTAGATGGATTACATAGACCAAGGGTATTAGCACCATACCTGGAGCGCTATGATGATCATATAAATGCAACCTCCACTTGCTCCCTCTTCCACTGGTAACAGCTCCTCTCGTTTTTATGAGGACCCACTACCATCCTTTCCCAGAACAACTGTTATTTCAGTGTTATTGGTCCCACCCTCAGTTTCAAGAGTGGGCATATAACCTGGCCTGGCCAGTGAGACTTTATTCTGGGATTCTCATGGAATTATGGGGCACGCAAAGTGCTCTTCTTCTGCTGAAGCTACTGGGGCCTCCAGGAGGAGAGGAGCTGCCTGGAAGTAATGTCCAGTCAGAGGAAAACAGAACCAAGAGATAGGATGTGATGGATGCCTGACAACCTCACCTGAGCACTTGAATCCAGCCATACCTGAATTCCCTTGAACTTCTCAGTAACATGATTCTATAAATTTTCTGTTCTGGCTTAAGCCAATTTGAGTTTCTGTCCTTCGTCAGAGAAATGGGCCCAATTAAAACAATTATTGTACACATTTCCTCTACACTACCGAGAAATAACTTGCCTGTAGTCACACACCATTCAGTTACTGCCCAGGGATTCAAGCCCAGATCCGGCTGCCTCTAATGATAATGGTCTCGGGGAGTGCTTTAGGAGTTGGAGGCCGAGAGAGGTGAAGTGACAGACCCCGTTGAGGGTCAGGGAAAGAGGAGCTCAAGATGCAATTTGCAGGGTCTGAAACCACTCGCTGTGGCAACCTAATTTGAGGTGGCCCATGTTATAGGCAATCTCCACAATTTCCTGGAATCCTCCCTGCTCACCTCCTAGAGCCAGTCTGACCATGACAGCTCCATTATCAGGCCTCGCAGGACTGACATATTGCTGCACCCAACTGCTAGAGCAGTCAAAGAGGCGGGGGGAGAAGCAATTTCCCATCACTTCCTGGGGAACAGCCTGTCAGCTGCCACCAGGGCTGTCTGGTGGGGAGCAGGGGGTCTGTGGGAGGCTAACGGCTCCACATAAGCCTTGACAAGTATCATTCCCCAGAGCAGCAGGTGAGTCATGAATAGAGCTCCCAGCTGGAGAAGTGGCCTCATCTCCACCAACTTCCTCGGAGTTTGGTCTGAAATTTGTTTGAACCAGTGCAAGTGTGGGGAGACCTCCGGGTGCTATGGGATCCTCCTGCTGTAACAGCCAGAATCCACCAACAAAAGGCCCTTCTAGACCAATCTTTGCTCATGGACTGAGGCTTAAAGGTCAAGAGAAAACAGATGTCTCTCCTTCCACACAGAGTGGAGGGCAGGGATCAAGTCCAGCTCATTGTCAGGTCCCATGGCCAAGTGCAGTACTGGCACATTGTAGGGGTCTATTATTTTATATATATATTTAATCAATGAGGCCCTTAGAAATCATGGCCTCATTTTATGGTTAGGAAAAGTGAGTTTTACTGAAAATGTGTTGCTCTTTTGCAGTCTGATCTTGGAGTAGCCACCAGTGAGTTGGTTCAATCTGAGGTTCCCTGAGGCTTCTTTCAACCCTGAATTGCTTTGATGATCACCTGCCCAAGACACATGGCTGAGGATGGGCAGAGTCAGGAGAGAAATCTGAGTCTTCTGACCACAGACTGCCTGTTTGCCCTCCCACGCCAAGCAGCGCCTGGTCACTCACTGCCTTCACAGAGCTTATAATTTACCCAAGAATTGTGCACACACAGTGTGATAGCCAGGACTTTTAGACTGCAAGTGACAGAAACATGATGTAAGCCAGGTAAGAAATGCATTGTCTCTTATAACCAATCCTGGGAAGGGCTGTGTATTAGTCTGTCCTCACACTGCTGATAAAGACATACCTGAGACTGAGTAATTTACAAAGAAAAAGAGGTTTAATGGACTCACAGTTCCACATGGCTGGGGAGGCCTCACAATCATGGGGGAAGACAAAGGAGGAGAAAGGCGTGTCTTACATGGTGGCAGGCAAAAGGGCTTGTGCAGGGGAACTCCCATTTATAAAACCACCAGATCTCATGAGACTTAATCACTACCACAAGAAGAGTATTGGGGAAACCATCACATGATTGAATTATCTCACCTGGCCCTGCCCTTGACATGTGGGGATTATTACAATTCAAGGTGAGATTTGGGTGGGGACGTAGCCAAGCCATATCAGGCTGGAACACTGGGTCTCTCTCTCTCTCTCTGTCTCTCTCTCTGTCTCTCTCTCTCTCTCTCTTTCTCTCCCCCTCCTTCCCTCCATCCCTTCCTCCCTCCCTCAAGTTTGCTTGCTTCCTCCTTCAGAAACAAATTGCCTCCTTAGTGTCCACTGCCTCCTCCTCTACCACAAATGGCATCTTCCACAGCTCAAGCTGAGAGCCACAGGTCATGAGCCATGGGTCATACCTCAGGGTCCTCCTTCCTGGAGTCACATCAGAGAGGTGGGAGCTGCCCACCCTGGGTTCTGATGTGGAAGCTCCCAGGGAAGGTCTCTCATGACCCTGTCCTGGAGGGTGAATGGCAGCTACCGCTAGGATCACATAGATGGAGTTTGGGGGGTCAGGAGAGGGGTTGGCATTGCCTCAAACAAGTGGCTTTTCCCAGAACTGATGGACTGCCTGGACGGACAGAGCAATAGGCATCCTCTGTGTTGGGGGAGACAATTGAAGAGTGGCCCTTGGCGATGCAATCTGAATGTGTGATGCAGCCCGTGGATTTGGAAGGAGGAGAGACATCTGGAGTCGTCCTCACTCCTTTGTTCCCTCCCAGGAGTCCCATTTAATTCATCCTGTGAATCTCTTTCTGCCTCTGCCCTGGCTGGCCCCTGTGTAAGGGCAGGATAAGGTCTCTCCATGAAGGGGACCACAGTCCAGAGGGCAAAAGACCTGTCAGTCAATGGTGGGACAAGGTGACCCATGGGTCATGAAGGTCCATTAGAGACCTGCAGAGTGTAGCAGGGGGAGAGGTGGGGTGCTCCGAGGAGCTGATGCTCTAGCGAATCCTGGGGATGCTGCCTGGAGGAGGAGGTTCTGAGGGGCACCCCTGAAGGAAGGGGATATTTGTGAATCAGAGAGAAGCAAGAAAAGCAAAAACATTCTAGGGGTGAGTGTGGCTGTATGTGCACATATGATTGCATGCAGTGTGTGTGTGTGTGTGTGTGTGTGTGTGTGTGTGTGTGTGTTTCAGGAACTGGTACTGTTGACCTTGTGGAGACAGAAATGAGACTGGGTGATTTCCAGGGACCCATTAGGTTCTCATGACAATCCTGAGAGGGAGGCGCAACTAGATCCACTGTACAGATGAGGGAACCGAGGCCCAGAGAGGTGGGGCCATCTGCCCAAAGTCACACAGTGGCAGAGCAGGATCTCACCCAGGTCTATCCAGCTCTTTCCAGTCCCTACACTGCCCACCCTCACCCCAGCTGGTCCAGGGAAGTCTGGTGCCCGCTCTGCAGAGAGGCCTGGAGTAGGCAGCTACTGTATGGGGCTGGAGGCTCTGCAGATAGGGACCTCTCCCAGGGGCCTCAGTTGAACTGTCGTAAAGGGCCAAGGAAGATGACCTAAGGACCAGCTCCCAGCAGAGAAGCACAAGGCTGGAGTTAGTACAGCATGCCCGCATGTAAGCCCTGATCGCAGACTCTACCCTGGAGAGGTATAAGGCACCACTGATGATCAAGTCCCAAGGTCAGCAGGCAGCCTGTGGGGAATCCCCATGCAGTCACCATGGGCCATCAGTGCGGAGATGGGAGCGGGTGAATGGAGGAGCTGGAGTCTGTGCTGAGGTCTGGACGAGACAGGGCAACCGTAAGTCCCACTTGGCCTGAGACAGTCCCAGTTTCTGCCTGTAGCCTCAGTGTAGTTAACAGCAGTGTCGCCTTGCACTCTCAGATGTCCTGGTTTGGACAGTAATTATAGGGTCATCCTAAGGTGAGGATATTCTCTAAAGAAGAGGGGAACTAACACTGACTGCATTCCTACCAATGCCCAGGGGCCTTGACACAATTTCCCTCATTTAAGCCTCACAACAACCCTAAATCCTAGATGCCTCTTCCTGCACATCCAAGGTCAGAGGGCAGGGAATAGACATTCAAAGAAAGATCTGTGGCTTTGTCCAAGTCCACCTTTCAGGTGCTAACATGTGCAGCGGGATGAAAGAGAACTCTCCACAGTGCCTGGGGCCAGCTCCAGCAGGAGGAGCCGGCAGGAGAGAAATCTTTAGAGTGTTCTCTTTAGCTTACCAGCCAGATAGGGAAAGAATTTTATCATGTATGGGGAAAAAATAACAAGTCATAATCATAATCATCCACTTTCAACAGTGTTTTATAATACTAAAGGGTAGAAACTCAAAATAGATGGCCCTTTGTTCAGCCAGACAGAGGAAAGGCCTGGATCTGCAAGCTCAGGCCCTGAGCTTAGTGTGGAGAGACAGCAGCCCAAGGAAACAGGGGGATAAAATTGAGCAGCATCAAGAAACCACAGGGAGGAGAATCCGACAATCTGAAGCCCCAGGGAACTGCAGACTCTAGGGAGACCTCCGGCCACCCCACAGCACACAGGGCAGGGGCTCAGGCTGGTTTAAATGCTGTTAAAGGTAAGGAGTTTGGAGGACTTGGGGGCCCTCGCTGGTGACACTGGGGCCTGGGTGCCTGGTGAATCTGCAAGAGGGGGCTCAGCCTGCGATGTTAAGGTGGCAGGTGGGATTTTACTCCCAGCTCCTTCCCCACTCCCCCTGTCATGTGACCTTGCAGAGCACCGGGTGGAGCAAAACGCATTTCCCTGTCCCTCTGATGTTGGGTGCTGTGACGTGTCTCTTGCTGACCCATGGGACACAAGCAACAGCTCCCAGTTGTCCGCTGGGGCCTGAGGAGGCTTCCCCTGCTTCCCCATGTGCCCCCTTTACATTTTGGCTGGGAGAGATCATGAGAAGAACATGGAGCCGCTGGCTCAGAACAGGCCTAAGGAGCAGCCCCAGAACCCACGGAAGCCTGAAGCAGAGCCCCCCACCCTAGGCCATGGGCCATGGACTCATGAGACAGAAAGAGAAGCGTTTGCTTCTAAAAGCCCCGAGACATTCAGCTTGTTACAGAGAACAAGTCAAAAAGAAAGATGAAAATCTAATACAGTCACCCAAGCAGATTTCAGCATGGAATCCTTTTTTGGGAAGCACCTGTCAGCATCTTTTAGAACGCAGCATCCCTCAGAGCCTGCTGCTCTGGGCAGCACAGATTATCCTCCTTCCCAGCCTGCAAAAAATAAAGGGACCACATTGGCAACAGGGGAGAGACCTCTGCCCACCCAGATGCTGCAGATCCTCATCTCTTGCTCCACCTCCCTAGTTACTCCAAGCACACATAGTGGGCACCCACATGCTCAGGTGTCATCCTCAGCCATCCTCTCTGCCCTCTTTGTGGACTGCCCACCCCAACAGGCCATCAGTAGGGCCTCCTGCCTCTGCCACCGGTGCTGGTGTCCTGGATCCTGCACCTCTGCTGAGGGCTGGGCATGGAATTTCTGCACTGTGCTCATCCTAAAACCCTAGAAGGCCCAGGCTATGCTGGATCCGTGGCCTGCTCTGGGGAGAATGTCCCACCTCTTGACCCTGGGTTATACCTGGCCCCCTAAGCAGCACTGCCTGAGTCCTGAGCCTCACACAGAGCCTCCTGAATATGGCAATGCTTCGGGCCTGCACACTTCTCCCCTGGAAACTGGAAACCCCGCCCTGAGGTAGGGGATGGAAGGAGCCTGGTGCATGCGTCTCCTTCCTCAGAATCATTTTTGTTTTTATCCCCAGGTGCCTGTTTTCTAAAATAAAGCCCTCTCTTCTCCTGTAACCCATTGCATTTAACTCACGCCAATAGACACTTATGGGAGGAATGACACCTTATGCTGCATACCACAAGAACCTAAGCCCTAGTTCCTAGTCATTCAAAATACCTCTGCCTGTTCTACAGATGGAGAAACAGGCTCAGGGAGATGGCCCAAGTTGCCCAAGTTTGCACAGCAGCTAAGGGGTAGGGATGGGGCGAGCAACTGTCCTTACGCTTCCAAAGATCTGTTTCCACCAATGCCACTTAACCTCTCCTGGGGAAGAACCCTTGAAGACTTGTGTTTACCTTTAAAGTTCATGTGACATTTGCAATCTACTCCATCATGTCTCTGTCTTGATTCTAATCCAAAAACATATTTTATATCCCTTGCCACCTGAGACCAAAAGAAGGAAAAAAAAACTGCTTATTCTGTAGCTTCATGTCCTCTCTGGTCCCGACCCCCAGCAGGGAGCCAGCCCCAGGTTGATGGTCCCAGAGGTACACACCACACTGTCTGTGGATCAGGGGAGAATGTGCCCGGAGCAGAGTAAGGCCAACTGACGTGCTGCTAGAGGCCCAGGAGAATCAGGCTTAAGGGGAAGAGGGAGTATCTGGGATGTCATCTGCTGACAACAGGTGCAAAGAATGGGAAATTATCCTGGACTCTGACGTCTTGCTGTTGTTTGAATGTGTCCCCCAAAGTTCATGTGTTGAAAACTTGACCCCTAATGCAGCAGTGTTGGGAGGTGGGGTTGAATAGAAAGAATAGAATAGATGAGGTCATGAGGTCTCACCCTCACAAATGTATTATTGTCATTATCTTGGGAGTGGGCTAGTTATCGCCAGAGTGGGCTTGTTAGAAAAGTGAGTTCAGCCCCCACTTGCCCTCTTGCTCTTATACCCTCTTGCCCTTCCTCCCTCCACCATGGGATGACACAGCACAAAGTCCCTCACCAGATGCTAGCACCTTGATATTGGACTTCCCAGCCTCCAGAACTGTGAGGAATAAATTTCTTTTCTTTAAAAATTACCCAGTATTAACAGTATTTTGTTATAGCAACACGGAATAGACTAAGACACACCTCCATTTTACAGACGGGAAAACTGAGGCCCAGAGAGGGAAGGTGACTGCCCAAAGTCAGATGACTCTGGTGACCTACCCAGAGAAGTGGTAGCTGAATCCAGGCCAGAATCAGATCTCCTTGCATGCAGTCCAGGAATCTTTCCTCCATGGAGGTCACACTTTTCCATCATCCAGGCTGAGCCCTGGGCCTTTGTGGTCTCGGTGATGCTGAACAAAGGCAGGCAGTTATGAGCTCTGTTCTTCAGGAACTCATGGGTCAGGGCTGGGAGGGAGGGGTGGCAGAAAAGCCAGCTCCCCAGGTCCTGTTCAGTCACCTCCTTGCTGTGTGACCTCAGACAGCAGCAACCTCTCTGAGCCGGGGTCTCATCAGCTCTGAAATAGGGACAGTTGTATATGGTGAGGACCCAGTGGCATGCAGCTTACCACAGTGCCCAGTGAGTGAACACTCTGCAGAGGTCACCCAGGATTTTACTTATGGTTTTGAATTTTGTCAGCACAGTCATTCCTAGAGGCAGATTCAGGCTGGTAGAGGGGCTGGACAGAGCTTCAGAGCCAGGTGAGGGCTCATCTGGTTGGGGTCCAGGCAGGCTTTATGGGGGAGGACGAGGCTGAGCCCTGAAGGGTGAACAGGCAGGGTGTTCAGCATCAGAGAGGGGAGCAGGGGCTTCTCCGTGAGCCAGGAGGCAGGAAGAGACCTGCCCGAAGCTCAGCAGGACAGGGCCAGGCACAGCCGGGTAGCTGCTGGAAACACAGACAGGACCCGCTACTGGCCCAGCTCCCGATATGGCAGACCACGATCTCATCCACTGCTCACAGCAGCCCCGTGAGGCAAGCATCATGACCCAAGGTGTACATGGGGAAACTGAGGTTCAGAGAGGTTAAATAACTGCACCCAGTGAAATGTTGAGTCCAGTGCTCCATAAATGGTTGGTCTATGCTATTACTCTGATGAAGGAATAACAAGGGCCTTTGCTGGAGCTCCTACTGTATGCCTCAAGGCAGAAGTAAGGCTTTCCCAGGCCCATGTGGGTAGTATGCCCAGCTTGCTCTTCAGGCCAGAGAATATTTGGGAAAGGGTCTTATCTCGAGAGTTGCAGAGGACAGATTCTTTACCCTCATGAAAGTTCTTCTCTGTCTGGACTTCTGTTTTCTTAGCCAGACTAGGATGGGGAAAGGGAGGTCAATCAAGAGGACAAGCCCAGACTGTGGCCTACTGTGTGCTGGTGGAATTCACAGTTAGAGCTCAGTAAGCCCTGCCAAGCAGCCCAGGGAGGGAGCACTGTCACCCCTGCTTTGCTGATAGGGAAACAAGCTCAGCAACAAAAGGAAACAGCACAGCGCACACAGCAGTGCTGGGACTGCCTGGACCTGACTGTGGTCTGGGAGGTCTGACTGCCCAGGGGGCTGGCCTCTGGGATCTTCTGACTCCCTGTGAGGCCCATGTGTGGGGTGGGACTAACTGGGAAGGGGACTTGCTGGAGCAGGTGGGGGACCAAAGTGTGCCTTGTAAGACAGGCAAGATCAGAGAGGAGCACGGGCTACGAAAAAGAGGAGGAGCAAGGGACACACAGTCAGGCGGTGTCACAAACAACACACCTGGGCACACACAGAGACCAGCCAGGCCCAGGGGCAGGGTGGAGATAAGATGCAGCCGAGTGCTAAGGACAGAAGGATGGCAAGCCTGGCAAAGCCCTACTGAGGGTGCAGCCTCTGCCCTGGGGCTGGGAGGGCTGGGGAAGGGGGTCATCCCTGGACCAGGAGCATCAGAGAGACCCCAGACTGAGCCCTCAGCACCGCATGGCTGGCCCAAGAGAGGCTTGATTCTCTCAGGAGGCTCTGTGGCCACTAGCAAGAGCTGAGGACCCCTCCCGGCATCCAGCAGCATCCTGGGGCCCTGGACAAAGCTAATTTGCTTCCTCCTTTTCTCCTCTCTCCCTCTCCCTGGCCTTGTGTGTGCACAGCTTGTGCATGTGCTATGATCAGACACAGCCAATATTAAATTACTCTGAATTGCAGGTTATTTTCGAGGCTTGATACTGTTTTCAGTGGTCTAGAGGCCATCGTCGTGGGCCAGGCCTTGAACCTCGTCCTGTTCCTTGCTTCGCATCCACTGGTCTCCGAGCACTCACTGAACTCCTGGTCAGTGCTTGGTGCCCTGTGGTGCCGACTCCTTCATCCTTCCCAACCCAGTGTGCTGGGGACCACCACTGCGATTGTTTTCATAGTGAGGAATTTAGACTTGGAGGGCTGGGGTCCTCTCTGGAGAAGGTGCTGGAGCAAGGCTGGAGAGAAGACATGGTTGGTGGGGTTAGGAGGGAGTGTGGAGAGAGAGGACATGGCTCCAAAGGAGCAGAGCTCCTGGTCTCAGACAGTCCCATCAGACCATCCCCAGCCCACCAGCCCTCCACTGCAGGACCCACACCTCCTCTGGCCCAGTCCCTGCCTGCAGGGTAAGGGTCTGGCCCAGGCACTTGTTAGAGTTAAGCTAGGGACAAACCTGGAGGAGGGAGGGACAGAGGAGGGAGATGCCAGGCTGTGGGAGGAGCCACAGAATGGTCAACATTAAATGCCCACAAGCCTGTGCTTAGAAAATCAAACCTTCCCTCCTAGGTCCTGGGTGGCCCTTCCCTCCTAGGTCCTGGGTGGCCCCTCCCACTGGGCCTGTCTGTCTGCCCCCGCCCCACTTTCAGGGGCTCCCGCTGGTTTTCTTCCATCCTTGGGCCAGATCTGAGCAGATGCCTGGAGCCTGGCCCACTGAGGAGCTGCTGCCCAGAGTGGAGCCGGGTCTCAGAGGCAGTGGGGAGGACAGGGACAGAGGCCAGAAGCCAGCGGGGAGGACTGTGTGTGTATCAGAGAAAGACACACACACAGAGATCAGAGAAACCAACAGTTCAAGAGGGACTCAAGGGGAGCAGAGAGTGAATCAACAATGAGGAAAAATAGAGACAGAGAATAGATTAGAATAAAAGAAACACAGAGAAAGGCAGAGATGATGTGAAGCCTAGGCAAAGCGAGAGCCTGAGCTAGAACACGAGACTCAAAAGAGAACTGCGCCACCTGGGAGGGAGGGAGAGGAAGGGCCTTGAGGGTCACAAGGAGAGACAGAGCCCATCCTTAGGAGCAGATGGGCAGTGGGGTGGGAGCCAGGCCTGCCAGTGGGGATCCGGCCAGAGAGAGAGGTGGAGCCCAGGCTGGAGCAGCAAGGTCAGCAGAGGAAGGCTCCTCAACAGCTGGGGGGCCGTGAACTGTGGGTGCACCCAGCCTGCGCAGGCACCTACACAAATGTGCTTTGTGAGTGTGTGCCGTGGGAGTGCCCAGCAGTGCGTAAGTAAGTGGTGTGTGCCTATGTTAGTCAGTGCACGCGGTGTGAGTGTTGTGTGTGTATCTCCACCTCCCCTATTTTGCCTGTAACCATTGCCAGGCCCTCTCTGCTTCTGAGTCTCTTCCATCCTCACCCCTCTGGGGATCAGGCAGATCAGAGCTGAACTGGCCCTGTCCCTAGAAGGGGCCTCAGAGGTTGGCCTGGCCTGTCCGCCCTTTCGCGTGTCTCCTGTCCTCTCCCCCTCCCATGTGGCCTTGGGCGCCTTCAGAGCCCCAGTTTCCTCATGTGGAGAACAGGATGATGCTATCTCACGGGGAAGGTGGGAGGCTGGAGATGAAGGGTGTCAAGAGCCTGCTTGCTGCCCGACCCCAAGAGGGCAGTTTAGCCTTCCTGCCTGGAAGTTTCCACCTGGCATTTTCCTCACCCCCACCCACCAGCAGAGCTGAGGCCTGCAGTGGGCTTGGAGCTAGCCTGCCCCGGCCCTCGCTTGGCCCTACTACCTGCTTTCTGGGGCCCTGGGTCCTGGTTTGCCCCTGTGACCTGGCTCCTCTTCTGTACCTCAGGTGACCACAGCCTTGCCCCATGTTCAGTGAGTCCCCGCACAGAGGTGCTCAGTAGACAGGGCTCCCACGGGTCCCCATGCTCAGGGACAGGTGGGGTGGGGGGCTCACCAGCCGTGGGGCTGTGCCCAGAGGGGCCCGAGGGAGCACCCAGAGGAACCAGGTCCACCGGGCACCTCTGTCACCTCATCCAGGAAACCAGGACTGCTGTCAGGTGTTTACTGCTTAGTAAACATTTTGATGTTTCATTCATGAAATCTGCCTTTTCTGAGGCCTCCTGCAGTACAGGCTGGAGTGAAGAATTTAATGAGAACTGGGCCTGTGGTCCCTGATCAGCTCCAAGCATGTAGCTCCCAGGAGGCCGTGTCTGCACTCAGAGCAGGAGTCCCCATATCCATCCCACAGGTCACAGAGTGGGAGGGACGTACTGCACAAGGAGGTGAAGTGGAGTCACCTCAATATATACAAACACACACAGTCGATGGATGGGGATAACAGTTCAGGCTTTTCAAAGCACATAGTAGGTGCACAAAAAAAATTTGTTGAATGAGTGAATGACATTTTATTCACAGATATGCCTTGGTTTCCAGAATGACCCTGTGGTTTGGAGGGTGGCTGCTGTATCTCTATTTTCTGTATGAGAAACAAAGGCTCAGAGAGGTTAGGCAGCCTGCCCAAGGACACACAGCATCAGCAGGTACTCCTGACTGGGGAGCACTGAGTTCACCTCTCCTTCGACAGACAGGGGAGCTTCCCCCCACTCCCTACCTGGAGCCCATAGACCTTTGATAATGCCAGGGCTGCCTCTGAGTCTCAACTCACCCCTTGATTTCTTGCACCCCACACTGTACACTACGCTTCCTGTTTTACACCTATCATCTCATCTCATTTTTACAATGGCCCCATCTTATTAATTGTTCAGAGAGGTTTGGTGACTTGGCCAAGGTCCCACAAGAAGTGGAAAGGACAGGACTTGTGCTTTGATTTTTTTTCCCATTGCACCAGACAAGGTGACTCACCCCCCGCCCCCCTTGGGTTGGCAAGGTGTTCTTTCCAGAATAACTGCCAAGATCCCCCTCCCTGCCTGCCCCAAACCATGACCAACTCTCCTTTGGAACTGGCCATCCAATCAGAGGTTCCCAGGCTTCCCTGTTTATATCAGCAGTAAATATGAGGCTGGGGAGAGAGAAAAGCCAGCCCACCATGGAGAGAGGGAGCAAACACAAGAGGGATGGGGTAAGAGAGGCCAGCTGCAGAGAGAGAAGAGTGGAGAGAGGAGAGAGTCACACAGAGAGGGGGGAACAAAACCAAGGAGAACAAGACACCAAGAGGATAACAGAGGCAGCAAAATACATTAAAAAAAACACAAAACACATACACGTGTGTGCACACGAACACACATGGACGAGAAAGAGAACCTTTGGGAAAGGCTCTAAAAATGAGTGTGATGGAGGCACCCACCCAGGGAGTGAGAAACACACACACACACACACACACACACACACACACACACCACGCAGAGCCCCGACGCAAACCCTGACAGAGATGGAGGGAGACAGATACAATTCAGACAGACGGTGGGGAAAAATGGAGTGTAGAGCAGAGAGGGAAAAAAGACACAGATAGCAAGACAGAAAAAAGATAGGGAGAGATTAATATACACACAAATTGCGATGGGGAGAGGAAGCAGAGAAGCCATAGACGCTGGAGCATCAGGGCTGGGAGCTCGCACCTTCCCCTCCCCACCTCCCGCTCCGCTTCATCACCAACTGCCTCTGCTCACAGCAGCCTGAAATGTAAGCCCTGAGTGGAGAAGTTAATTCTCCCAAGTCCAGCCGCCAAGACGCACTCTGCATTCCACCCGCGTGCCCTTAGTGACACAGAGGCGGAGGGGGATCCATCTGCACCTAGCACAGGTTACTTCTCTTTTCTTAGCTTTGAACCAGATGCACTGATGGAAGGAGAGAGACCTGCCCAGCATTTGATCATCAAGCCTACGCCCAGAGCCACTTAGGCAGCTAATCGCTGAGCCATGAGCGGCCGGAGGTGGGCACAACCCAAAGCCTCTCAAGCACCCCCAGGGTGCCCACCAGGGACAAGATGCAGCCTCTGCACTAGGGACCCCCACATGGGGGGGCGACAGTCCTGGGTCCACATGACCCTTACTTGCTCCTGCCTCTGGTGAGTCTCCTGTCCTGACACCTCTAAGCCTCCACATCCATCTCTATGAAATGGGATCGTATTCCTGCAGCCGGGTCAGCTGAGTTGGAGGAGAGTTGCTGACTCCTCTTCAGTGGTGAAAGGAAATGAAGAAAAGAAATTTGTCTCATCCTGGGGAAGGCCCCAAACCTCATCCCCAGGAGGTCTGCCTGCCTGGCATTTTACAAGGCAGTGGGCCTCTTGGAGGCAGGGAGCCGAGATCAAAAGTACATCAGACATTGCACCAGACAAGGTGACTTGCCCCCCACCCCCCTTGGATTGGCAAGGTGTTCTTTCCAGAATAACTGCCAAGATCCCCCTCCCCAGTTCTCTCTTTGCCACTATTGTGGCTCTGGAGAAAAGATTAGAAAGGCAGTGCTAATTTAATTTGCCAGAATGAATAAAGATAAGACAGTGACTCAGGGTGATGAAGTGCTGGGAGCCCATAATTCACATGCCTGATAGCCCACGTTGGAGCTGATTCAGCCAGGACAGCCTCGGTTTACTGTCTCTGTCGCTGAGGAAGGCTGGCTTCCCCGCCTAGGCAGTGGGTGTGAGAGGCTTATAAATGGGCAAATGAGTTTAAGGGGAGGAAGGAGCGGAGATCTGTGGGTCCTTCTAGTGCCCATGGCTGCCACCAGGATGTGGGGAGGGAGCACTCAGATCATTCATTCATGATCACGCAGCACTCATTCACTCATTCATGATCATTTTACCAAGCAGCCCCCTGGGCCTGGAGTGGGGCATAAGTGGAGGGTGTTTTGGGATCCATCATTAAATCCAAAGGCCATCTGGCCAGGCTGCATCAGGGATACCTGGGCACCGGGATTACCTGTGTCCACGAGGGCACATGCATCACTGCACATGGGAATTTGTGTCATCAGTGAAACAGGAGTGCATTCTCAATGCCCATGGGCAGGGCTTGTTGGTGTGGGGACACCTAGATATACACAGGGCTCGCTCATCAGCATATGCAGGGCTCTGACATGCTCTGCTGCTTACTAGCTGTGTGAACTGGGGGGAGCTTTTTTTTTTTTTTTTGAGACAGAGTCTTGCTCTGTCGCTCAGGCTGGAGTGCAGTGGCACAATCTCGGCTCACTGCAAGCTCCGCCTCCCGGGTTCACGCCATTCTCCTGCCTCAGCCTCCCGAGTAGCTGGGACTACAGGCGCCCACCACCATGCCCGGCTAATTTTTTGTATTTTTAGTAGAGACGGGGTTTCACAGTGTTAGCCAGGATGGTCTCAATCTCCTGACCTCGTGATCCGCCCACCTCGGCCTCCCAAAGTGTTGAGATTACAGGCGTGAGCCACCACACCCGACCACTGGGGGGAGCTTATTACTTCTCTAAGCCTCAATGTCTGTAGAGTAAGGATAGTCATAGCACCCACTTTACAGAGTTCTGGTGAGGACTAAGAGAGTGCCTGAAAGAACCCAGCTCGGCATCCGGCCCACAGGAAGGGCTCCATGATCATGAGTTATGACCCATGTTATTTCATGATGATCATGTGAATTCTTCTTCCTGGGTGCGCGTGGAAGGTGGGCCCACTGGGCTGGTTCATGCACTTCATGGAGAGTTGCTCTTATGGCCACAGGGGAGACCTTCCTGTCACGTCCCAGGTGCTCTTTCTTCCTCCTTTGTGGCTGAGACAATGAGGGCTTGGTGCCTGGCTGGGAGGGAAGGAAAGAAGGTGGAGAGCCAGCCTCTCCTTCAGGGCCAGGAAATTTGGACTTTATGGAAAGCTGGCAGTCTGCTTTGATGGAACTGAAGGCAATTTGCAGCAACACAAAAGGGTGCATTAGAGAGGGAGGGCTGGGAGCCCCAGAAATGAGAGGCTGGAGGCTGGAAAAGAAGGGGATGAAAATGGCCCAGAGAACAGCAATTTAAATGCAACCAAAGCATGAATACTTCTGCCAGGGACCGGGGTTTCCATTCACATGGAATGAAGGACCCACGATGCAGGTGCCTTGTCTGGCTGATGGAGCAGGGGAAGGAAATCCCCACAGGGGCCAAGCCTCGGTGGGCTGGGTTTTCATTTCTTTTGTTGTGTAGTCTAAAGTAGGAACCACTGGACCTTCTTGTAATGCCTTGTGCTTGGAGCTGGGGTGCAGATTGGTGTGAAGACTCTTGGGGTTGAGGATGGAGTGGAGAGGGCAGATCTGAGTCACAGTCAATGACAGGAGGGCTCTAGTGGGAAGGAGGGAGAGGGCAGAGCTGAGTCACAGTCAATGACAGGAGGTCTCTAGTGGGAAGGAGGGGGGATTGGCAGCTCCAAAGCATGGTAGCCTGGACCTCAGGCCTCTCTCGGGCTCTCTTGTGAGCTCCCTGAACTTCCAGCGGCCCAGGCCGTCCTGGATTACAGAAATGTAGTGGAACCCCTCATCCAGGGCTCAGGTGCTCCCAGAGAATTGAGGCTAGGAATGGCCCTTGAGTTAACCCACCATATAACCTTATAGTCAGAGAGGTCTGGGGCAGCAAGGGAAGAGGGGCTGGGGGAGTTACTGTCCAAGATCACACAGTAAGTCAAGGCCTAAGCTGGACACAACCCCAGGCAGCCCACAAAGAATAAATAACTCTTTCTCTCCCATCACCTCTGTCCCCTGACCAGGGCATCATGCCTCTGGACAACATGGTACCCCAGGTCCAACTCTTAAGCTGTGTGTGGCCACTGCAGTGGAGTGCGCTGTCTCTGGGAGCACCTGTTAAAGCTCACACTGCCTGGAAGGAGTGAACCAGCCTCTCTCCCATCAGCCCAGCAGCAGGGACTCCTCTCAGACCAGGCAGAGATGCTGCAGTAATGGTGGGTGAGCCCAGCAAGGGGCCTGGAAGCAGAGCAAGCCCAGGAGGGGGCTGGACAGCAGCACCAGGGTGAGGGGTGGGTGGGAGCCTGAGTGCTGGCAGGCACAGGAAGGAGAGAGGGGCAGGGTGCTCGGGAAATGCTGTGTCCCAGGGGCCACTCTGCAGGGAAGAGCCCCTGGGTGTCGCGTGAGTGGAGGGAATTGGACCCTCCTCCAAGCACAGGATTCCATGGCCCTGGGCGGCCAGTGACCTCACTGCTCTGAGCCAGGGGTGGGGATAAGAATGCCCCCTCCCAGGACTGCAGTAGGGAGTGAGATAACCTTTACCAGGTAACATGCTCAGCCCAGCGCCTGATAGACGGGCTCCCTCCCCAGTCCCCAGTCAGGACACCCCAGGGGTCAGGACTGTGGGCTCCACAGTCCCACATCTGGGATTGGTGTCCCGCTTCACTGCCTGCTGGATGTGTGACCCCGGGCAGGTTCCTCCCCCTCCCTTAGCCTCAATTTCCTCTTTCATGAAATGATGCATTGCCCTCCAACTCTTGGTTATTCTTTGTGAAGTGTCTAACACCGGCACAGAAGACTCACCTGATCAAAGGCAGCAGGCATCACCCTGAGCTGGGGGTCTAGAGTGACCTTTTAGACAGTGAAGTCTGGACCCATGGAGGGGTTATCATTTCCACAGCTCTCATTCGCTCTGCCTGTCCCTTCCAGAATCCCAAATGTTTCAGCCATTTTCTGTGGCTGAAACAGAACATTGTAGGCTGAGTAATTTATCCACAATAGAGGTTTATTCGGTTCATGGTTCTGGAGGCTGGGGAGTCCAAGACTGAGGGGCTGCACTAGGTGAGGGCCTTTTTGCTGTGTCATAATGTGGCATAGGGCATCACATGGTGAGAGAGTGCGTGAGAGAGGGTAAGAAGGGGCTTACTTTGTTTTTATAGTAGACCCACTCCCACCATAATGACATGAATTCATTTCACATTCATCCATTAATCACTGAAAGATCACACATCTCCACACTGTTGCATGAGGGATTACGTTTCCAACACAAGGAACTTTGGGAAACACACTCAAGCCATAGCACGGTCCTCCGCTGTCCCTCTCCCGCCCTCACCATCTCGGGTCTCTCTGTCGGGCTTTGACAGAGCAGGTCTGGCCTGAACTCAGTCTGCAGAAGTAGATTCTCCATGTGCATGAAAATTGCCCATTTACTTTGAGAATCCCATAGAAATCGTTCTCCTCCTCCGCCTGCTCTTCTCCTCCACCCGTTAACGATGGGACACTGGCATGCTAGCATTCTTCCTTTCTGCCTTTATGAGCAAATATGTGATAAGAGGCTCATCGCTGACTCTTTGACAAAATGCAGCATTTTCTTTTAAGCTACATTATGTTAAGAGCAGAATTTCCTCTCTACTAGCTGATAACCTTTTCTGTTTCTTTTCTTTTAAATGAGAGCATCTCTTGTTCATTCTTGTGGAAGATCTGTTAAGGGAGATAAATTGAGAAAAGTCGTGAACTCCTGAAAAGATACAGCTTTTTAAAAAGAATTCATTTGCAGCATGAAATCTACCGAGTGAGTGTGTAAACCATGGAGTCATTACAATGTGGTGGAATTGCTTTGCTTTGAATTGAGTTGTGGCTCTGTCTGTAAGTACCTGCTCCTTTCACTGTTTCAAGCTGGGATACTCAGAGAAGCGTGCAGACCTGGCTGGGTCTGTCAGCCCTGCCTTGGCCCCGTGTGGTAATCAGGTAAACTCCCACCTGTGCCCTCTCACCTGGACGGTGGAGGAGTCTGAGGGAGGCCTCAATTCTGAATGCTCCCTGAATTCCCCATCTGCTTGAGCCCAGACCCTACTCTGGTCAACTCTGTCCCTTAGTAAAGTAACCAACCATTTCCAGTTGGCAGGGACCGAGTGCATTCTTGGTATGAGGCACTTCCAGCGCTGAAACCAGAGAAGTCCCAGGCCACGAGGATGACTTGGTCACCCTGTTCTTTGTGGCTCCTTACATTACTACCAGTGAGCCAAGACCTGTGAGGAGAGGCAGGCGAGGCCTCCATGCCCTGCCCTGAGGGACCAGCCGTGGTGCTGGTGTTCGCTGATGTGCACAGAAGAGCAGGGCTCCTTAGGGAGGCGTGGCTGGAGAAGGTGACAGAGCCTCACAGCTGGGTTCATGGGGTTCTGTCCTCTTTCTGCACTGTCTCATTTACTCCTCACAGTCAGTGTCAGGTGACAACACTGAGGCTCAGCTCGGAGGCATCACAGTGACTCATACCAGTCATCACAGTGCAGTGGCATTGTTTTGCTTTGAATGGAACTGTAGCTCTGTCTCCAAGCACCGCTTCTGCTTGTGCACCCCATCTCTGTCTCCCAGACCAGGGCACCTCCAGAGCTCAGCGGAACTGCAGGAGCCCATGCCACGTGCAGGAGTGGAGGCAGAAGCTGGCAGGGGCTGGGTGAGTGGGGCAAGGTCCTAGTCACTTCACTCAGACCTCTAGTGTCCAGCACAGACCTTGGCACAGACATGGGTGCCTTGCAGTGTGCCCTGGTGAAGGGGCCTAGGTGGGGAAGGGGAGGCCCCTCCTCCTTGGCCAGTCTCTCTAGGTCCCAGACTCCCTCACTGCCTCCAACCACACAGAGGCTTCAGCTCCCCACCTGGGCCTGCTTGGGGTTTGACAAGCACCAAAAGTTCCACTTCAAAATTCATAGAATCACAGCATCCAAGGCAGAGGGGCCTTTATCTTGGCTCTGACCGCGAGCCTGCTGTGGCAGGGCCCGGTTTGTGGGCGTGCATGTCTGCAGCCAGCCCTGTGTGCTACCCCAGGAGAATTTTATCTCAGCCCACCTCGCTTCTTCCCTTCTCCTGCCCTCAAAGGGGAACATTATCTTTGTGAGATGGCTCCAAAGTCGTGGGGACTGCGGAATCAGGAGAGGCGAGAGTGGAGAGGATCTGGAAAGATAAACTAATCTGTATAATGAAGAAGATTGGGGAGGGAGCAGGAGAAGCTGGCGAAGAGGGGAGGAGGCAGAGGAAAGAGCCAGCAAGCTCCTCATCAGGGAATAGTTTGCAGATGTGGCTTCGTGAAGGGCTCTGCAGCTTTCCCTTCTGAGAAGTGGGGACTTCAGGAAATGCTACAGGGGCTATAAGCCAGATATTAAGGGCTATAAACCCTTAATTTTCCTTGAAAGAGGGAAATAAAAGCAGAAATTCCTCTCCAGGTTATTTTTGGCTGCTGGACTGTTTCTTCCCATTGTCTACCATGTTGAGACGGAGCCTCCTGAGGCCCCAGTGGCAACCGGGTTGTCCTGTTCTGTGTGGCTTCAAAAGGGCTGGGGTAGGTTCACACATGACCGCATGCCAGAAATATCGTGGGCACCCAAGTAACACATAAGCAACGGTCCTCGGGGACGATCAGTTTCACACTGATTGAGCACCTTAGTGAGGGTCAGGCAACCGTCGGGTCAGTGGGCATCACCACCCTCATCCCACAGATGAGGAGACAGACTCAGAGATGGGAGGAGACTGGCCCCAGGCCACGCAGCCAGGCAGTGTGAGGCCAGGTGCAAACCCTGTCCGCCTGGCTTCACCTCCACACTCTTTCCACTCCTGCAGAGACCCCCTCACTGCCTCCAACCACATAGAGCCTTCAGCTCCCTACACGGGCCTGCTTGGGGTTTGACAAGCACTATGCGTTCCACTTCAAAATTCATAGAATCACAGCTTCCAAGGCAGAGGGGCCTTTATCTTGGCTCTGACCGCGAGCCTGCTGTGGCAGGGCCCGGTTTGTGGGCGTGCATGTCTGCAGCCAGCCCTGTGTGCTACCCCAGGAGAATTTTATCTCTGTCCTCTGTGTGGTTGGAGCATAGGAGGCAGAGGCGACATGTGGCTGCGGGACCTGGGCAGGGGTCAGGGAAAGGTCTGTTGTGAGCAGGACTTTCCATATACGTGGTGTTTCAACAGACAGCAGTGTGGGGACATGGGTTGTAGGTCGTCCTACGGGCATTCCAGATGGAGGGAAGGGCATTCCAAATGGAGGAGGCAGCAGGAAGAACAGCCAGGAAGTGGGGCCCAGGACACCTTTGGGAAGCAGAGAGGAGTGGCCTTTGGTAGGATCATCAAGGGAAGATGTGGCTGGAAGTGCAGGGAGTGACTCCATCAGAAAGCAGGAAGCCTCTCCAAGGGCGTGGCTTTGCACAGCTCCCCAAGTCAACAGGAGTCCAGTTATGGAACTCATTTGCATATTAAGACTCAGGTCGGTTTTGTGTCCCCCACCTCAGCCCTGCAAGCCCAAGTTCAATAGCTGTTGGCTCCTATCTTGTTCAGGCCCCGTTCTGTCTTCTAAGCTCCGCATCTGCCTGTCCAGGGACCTCAGCCCAAATCTCCCACCTCATAGCCTGGAGCCAACCCTGCAGCCTCCACAGAGACTCTACAGGCTGGGACCTGGGAGGCCACACATCCAGTCATGAACGGCTGGGTCTGCTCTAGGTCTTGTGATGGCCAATATTGTGGGAGAAGGGCTGATGAGGCTGGGGGTATGGAGTGTCTTAGAGAGAGTCAAGACTCAGGGAGGGTCATGGGCCTGCCCCAGTCATACAGGAGTCAGTGATGGAGTCTCTGGGCTGGAAGCCCGCTGCCCTGGACCCCTGGCCGACCTCTCTGACCTCAGGTCTTTCTCTGCATCCTGAGCCAGCTCGACTTACATCAAGATGATCCCTTTTCCTTCTTCTCCAGCAATTCCTCATTCACCTTCCACCTCAGTGGCTAAGATCATTTCTCAAAGTCCAGCCAAAGGAGCAATAATTACTGGATATGACTTAAGTAATGAAACAATCGCTGCTGAGCCATCTGGGTACTGGAGAGCTGGGAGCAGCAGGCATGGCTGCAGACATGTGTGTCCACCTTGCTGCCTTGCCCCGGATGAGAGCTCAGAGGGGCTGGCTTGGGGCTCTGGGCCCAGGCAGCCCTACCATGACTCTGCTCTTCCCCAGCTGAGTGAGCTTGGGCCTCTCTTCACCTCTGAGAGCCTCTGCGGAGTAAAGTGGAGCCCACTGTGCACCCCACAGGGGCAGTAGTGAGGCCTGAAGAGACCATGCAGCTCCAGCTCCCCGTGAGAACCAGCATCCTCCCGGGGGCTCTGGGTTACCCTGGGCTGCAGTTAGCCAGGTGCTGGTGTGTGGTCATGAGGCTGCCTCAGCAGACAAGGCTGGAGTCCCCTCAATAACACCTAAGACCCTTCGCCAAGGGTGATGTCATCTGATTTGTAATTACGAAAGACTCCCTGTAAGCTCAACCTTTCCCAACAGCCAGCCCTGACCAAGGGGATCAGGGTGGAATCAGGGCTGGAGGAGGCTCAGCCTCTACTGGATGAGGTGGGGGTTGGGCCTGGATTCAAAACTGCAGCTCTGAGGTCAGAAGCATGGAGTGTTAGGGTCCCAGCTCCCTCCTTCCTTGCTGGCTGGCCTTGGGTGAGCTCCTGGACCTCCCAGCCTCAGCTCCCTCCTCAGGGAGACTTTCTGCTTCACAGAGCTTGGTCAGGTGACGTATCCTCCCTGGAACTCAGTTGCCTCATCTCTAAAATGGGCTTTGCACCTTCCTGCCCTGTGGGGTGGGAGGACTGGATGAGATGGTGTGGGTGAGGGGTTGTGCCATGCCTGACACCCTCTATTTGATCCTCACTCAGTGGTATCTGTGGTGACAGGATCTGGGACTTCCCTCAGCCTAGCAGAGGGTTCAGAGTGAGCGAGGCCACGCTTATGTTTATTGGGGTGAAAGCTGCATTAATAAGCTGGCAAAAAGGGAAAGCATTGGGGAGAGTTGGCAAGGACAGTGCCTGGGCAGGAATCACTCTCTCCTCTTGGGGAGCAGCTCCTCTGAGCCCCCTACACTTGAGTTTTCTGTCTCCCATTTGGCCCTTGGCTCTCAGTGGGATCTGCTGTCATTTCTGTAGATATAACAATAACAATAATTGCAATAGCCTCAATCCTTGAATCCTTCCTCTCAGCCGAGCTTTGCCCCACAGAGTGCCCCAAAGGAGGCAACAGAAGGACCTGTGGGCAGAAAGTCCAGTCCCACCTCTGCCTCCTACTCCAGCCTTGGGCTGATCCTTCCCTGCCCTGGGCCTCAGTTTCCCACATGCCAAATATGGGTGTTGAATTTGACACTTGGAGGCACTTTGAGCTGTTAAATTCTACCGGATGTTCAAAGACTGTGGGGAAGATGGGGAGCAGGAGGGGACAGGGGCCACACTCGAGCCTCGGTTCACAGTGGTTGAGTGGTCACAGTATGCCAGGCACTGTCCTGAGTGCTCCATGTGGATCAACCTAGTGGGTCCCCACATCATCAACTGGAGGAGGGGGGCACGATTATTATTCCCATTTTATAATTGAGGAAACTGAGGCACAGAGCAGTTTGTCATGGCCAGAGCGCTGCTCTGGGAGACAGGGACAGATCCAGACCCCTTGACTTCCTGGGTCACCTGAGGGAAGGAGCTTCCCTTCTTATCTTCCAGGAAGGAGGTAGCAGAACAGGAACCAAAGTGAGTGCAAAGTCTGCTGGGGGCCAGGAGCTGCCAGGAGCCCCCGTATGTGAGGTTGCATCCTCAGGACCTCTCCTGGAGTAGGTATTGTTCTCTCCATTTTACAGACAAGGAAACTGCTACCTAGAAAGGTTTAGACTTAACTAACATCACACCGCAAGTGTGTGGCAGGGCCAGATTCAAACACAGGCTCTGAATCTTTCCACCCCTCACAGGCTACTTCAGGGCCGGGCACCCCCGCGTAGTTGGGGCAGAGATTGGAGGATAGATCTGGCCGGTGGCTATGGGTTCTTAGGCCCACAGGCAAATAAGAGGCTCCAGAAAGCTGGGTATTGGGGGTGGCCTCAGGAGCCCTGTGACTGTGGTCAGGAAAGGAGAACCCAGGACTGGGCAGCAAGAAGATAAGGCAGACACGAGGTTCTGGAGAGTCGGCTCACGGCTGGGGAGGATGTAGGGGCCTGGCCAGAGTGGGCTCAGGAGTAGGGGCTGAATCCTGTGAGGTGGGTCAACAGAATGAGGAAGGTCCCCATACCTGGAGGAGGTGAGGTCAGGGGCCCACAGGCAGAAACAGCTAAGTCCAGGCTCCTGACCATCCTCCAGCTTCCACGTGGACCTGCCCTCCCCAGTCATGGGCCTCCCAGAGGCCTGAGGAAACCTGTAAACAGGTAAAGCACATCCCATTCCTCTCAGCTCCCAGCCCTCCCCAGCTTCCGGTCTTACTCAAAGGAAAATCCAAATCTGCTGGCATGGCCCACAAGCCCCTCCCATGTCTGTCCCCTCTGACCTTGTCCCCCTTCCTCTTCGCTACTCACCAACCTACAGCCATACTGACTTCCTGCTGTTCCTCAAGCAAGTGAAGCCCGCTATAGCCTCAGGGCCTTTGCACATGCTCTTCCCTCTGGTGGCTGGTTTGCACCTGGCTGATGTCTGTGCCTCTGCACGGGCTGTGAGCTGAGGGCACTGGGAGCCTGGGAAGGGTTTCCAGCTGGGAGGGAACCAGCCAGCTTTGTGCTGCTGAGGGGCATTCTGGGGTGGACCGGAGGGTGGGCTGGAGGGGATGAGCTTGAGGGCAGAGAGAGTGCTCAGTGTGCAGAGCTGGGGCATGAGGTGGGCTCAGCTGAAGGGCCAGGGAGGTCACAAATGGTCAGGATGGGCCCCAGGTCAGGTGGGGAGAAGCAGCCAGGCCAGTGGTTTTGATGTGGAAATGTCTGAACTGCAGAACAAGCCTCCTTTCAACTCCCAATTAACATGGGAGCCTCCCCAGCCAGGCAGAGCTGGGTTGGCAGGTGGGGCCCAGAGGCTGTGGGGTCAGGGAGTGGGGATGGAGGGAGAGCCAGCCAAGACATTACCATGGGCATGTGAGAAAGGAACGTTCTGTCAACTGGAACCAGCGCAGGGAAATCCAACAGGGCTAAGAATTTTCCTCCCACCAGCAAGCTGAAGGGGAAACGCATTTGTTTCCGCCGCACATTAGTGTTTTTCAGGAGATAATGTGACTGTTTTTGCGCTAGAAAGTCATGAATGGAAAATTCCACCTGCCAAGACAGCCAGTTCCTCCCCCAGGCACTAAAGAATGGAGAAAGCTTCTGTCTCTAGCTTACTGGTGCCTGGAGTTCCACCACTGGAGCTCCGGTCCTATGGCTTGGGGCCTTGTCATTTGTTAAAATGCAAACAACTTCACTGAAGTCATGTTTCAACACAAACATTTTCATTAATTCAACAAATATTTATTGAGCTCTTGCTCTAAACCAGGCAGTACCTGGAGGCTGAGAACAGAGAAATTAATTAAGACTTGTCCAGACGAAGCCTTCAAGGAACTGGCAAACTCTGTGTGTTTTGCGGGTGGAGGGGGTGCAATAAGAAAACCTGACCATATGGTGCTGCAAAATGGTGGTGGGAATAAGGTGCCAGGGGGACCCCCAGAAGAAGCAACTCATTTCACATTTGCAGAAGGCGAGGCTTCAGCTGGGATCTGGAGGATGAGGGGTGGGGAGCAGGGTGGGGATGAGAATCCCAGATGAAGGGCACAATAAGAATGAATGAACAGAGTCATGAAGCAGCATAGGGGTGCATGGCCTGGGCCAGAGCCTGAAGCCCTGGGCCAAATGAAGCCTGGGCAGACCTACCTCTGCAGGCCTAGGCCAGCTGAGCCAGTTAATTCCTACCTTTCTTTAAGCCAATCTGTTGTCAGCTTTCACCTGAAAGTTCCTAACGGGTACAGGGCGTTTCTAGAGGGCAGAGTTTGATAGAGCTGGAAAAGGAGCAGTGAGTAGGTGCCTGGCACCTCCATGTGCAGGGGTTGGTCAAGTCCTTTTCCTTTTGATTCTGTCTCCACCTACACTTCTTATCAGGAGAAAAGATCTCGCCCTAGAAAATGTCCCCTGATCCGTGATGTTGGCCTGGCACCTTGGATAGTAAGTCCCGATTGGGCAGCCTGGGTGTCAGGAGCCCTGGGTTCTGTCCCAACCCCACCCACTGCCTGGCTGTGGGGCCTGGGCTGCGTTACACCCATTCTCTGAGCCTAGATTTGGGATTCATCCATCAGCCCATAGAGCTCTCTGAAGGAAGAGGCAATCTCCAACCCATTCATGTGGCCTCCAAACCTGGGACAGTCCCGCCACAGAGCAGGTGTGAATGGAGCTGTTGACCAATCCATGGGGGAGCTGCACCTTCCTGCTCTAACCTTCTAGGATCAGGGCCATGTGTGATATGACAGGGACAACTGCAGTTCCCTCTGTCCACCCTGAGAGCCTCCTGGAGGCCTCAACCCCAGGTTGCAGCAGCAGGAAATCTTGCAAGATGAAATTTCCTATGCAGGCTGCACTGCAGAGGCCTCAGTTTACACACACTGTCTATCTCTGTTGAAGGCTCGCTGAGCCACAATCAGACTGTAGGGTGAGAAAAAGTCCCCCCAAAAGCTTAACGCTTTACTCTCCAGCTGCAGCAGACCTGGGCAGCCAACGTCAGGGACTCTCCTCAGTTTTCTCATTGCTGACAATGATGAGGGGGCCACGCACGGGGAAAAGACTCAAAGAATAAAATAAACCCATGGGGTTCAGCCCAGTCGATTCCTTAAAACCAGTAAGCCAGTGCCCTGCCCTGCAGTGTAGTGTGGGCTGCACGTCTCAGTGCTCAGAGGGTAGGGACATGTGTCTGTATTCACAGGCAGGAGCAGGGAAGGCAGAGGTGGGAGCACCCACCTTCTCCTCTAGGGAGAACACTGGAGTGAGTGAGGGGCCAGAGGTCTGGGCTGGTGATCCCAGGTCCATGCTTGATTCTTCTAGAACTCAGATGTCTTTCTTGGAGGCAGGTAGCATGCAGAAGTCAAGAGCCTGGAGCAGAGTACAGTAGCCTTGGGAGGGTTTAAGGTTAGGAAGAGAGATTCTATCACTCATCCCTTCATTTATTCCCTCCCTAGGTTCACAAGCCAGGGGGCTTACAGATGTTCTTGGGGAAGGTTGACAATAAACAGGGAATTACACAAAATATTTTATGGCCCATTTGTAATAAGGGCCATGAAGGGAAGCCAATTTCCGATGATTAAAAGATGTTAGACAGAAAGAGAGAGAGTAACTGACCCTTACTTTACATACATCTGAACCCTTGAAACAAGTCAGCAAGGCAGGTGCTATCAGAGGAAGCTGAGGCTCAGAGAAGGTCGGCAACTGGCCCAAAGCCACGCAGCTTACAAGTAGTGGTGTTGAGATCCTGGACAAGCTAGGTCTGTCTCCAGAGTCAGTGCTCCTGGAACCATGCAGGAGTTCCTCCCAAGGAGAAGGCAAGGCAAGGCTACCGTGGAGCACTCAGCACCACTTCCCAACAGGATCAGACCTGGGGAAACTGACCAGCTTGGTCCGGGAGTGTTATTCTGCCCAAGGACCAGTCTGGAGCTGGATTTAGTTTCTAGAAGAATCTTTCTAGCTCAGCAGCCCCGCAGCTTCAGAAGATGGGCATGTCAGGGCAAGCTCTGCTTTCTGCCTCTTCGAGGAGTCTTGCTGCCACTCAGAGACCTGCTCACAGAGGCAGGAAAGTCAAGGATCTGCTTCCCCAAAGAACAGGCTGAGCCTCACACGGCCAAATCCCAGAATGGCTTTCAAGGAAGAGAACCCAGGTGTGTTTGTGTCCTGCCTCCATCTCTTACTGGCTGTGTGATCTCAGGCAAATGACTCTGTGAGCCTCTATTTTTCATGTGTGAAATAGATTTATTCGTAATAACATACGAAGCCTATACTCAACACATGTGGATTTCCTTTCTCTTCTACTGTCAGCTAGATCCCACAGAGCATGGTTTTCCCATCTCTGCCCCTCCATTGTGACCTCCTGGAAGTCCCCACCCATGCCTAGTCAAAGCAATGAGCTGAATCCAGACTGAAATGAAGCTAATTGGAGAGTGGTGAGGGTTTCTGTGGCGATGAGCATTTAACTGGTTGTCCTGGGAGTCCTCATGATACTTTAAGAGAGATGATAGGCTCACTCTCAGTGTGGACCAGAGGATTCAAATGACCTCCTTGGTGTGGGACTCACCACAGGAGGTTTATTTTATTCTTTGAGCCTACAGCAGAGGTGAGGAGACAGGACAAGGGCCAGACGAGAAAGGGATCAAACTGGGGTGATGGTTGACGCTTGTGTTCAGAGAGTCAGAGGAGACAGGCCTTCCATTCCAGCTCAATGCCTACCTTAAAGATGGGGACACTGAGGCTCACTAGGGGAAAGGGACCTTACCCCAATCAACTCCCTGTCAGGGCAGAACTGACACCAGAGGCTGGGTTTCCTTCCTGACCACCGCACCCTCCTAGGGGTGGACCGGCACCCTAGCTGATGATAATAAGCTGCCATTTCTGAGTGCTTTCTAGGTGCCCAGCCTTGCACTGAGCATTTTGTGAGCATTTGCTCATGTGCCTCTAATAAGCCCACGGGAAGATTGTATTATTATCATCAGGTGAAACTGGAGACAATTGGATGTTTGTGAGTGACAGGTAGATAATGAGTCATTGGCATAGAAGTAGGGGCTGGAGACAAAGCTTACAGTCCCACCATGTGTCTTAATGGTCAGGGTGCCAGGAGCTCAGGTACTTTACAGGTCTCATCTCATCAATATTCACACCAGTCTCCAAAGGGGGACATTGTTCTCTCTGTTTTGCAGTTGAGGAAACTGAGGCTCAAGGCATTTAGGCATGAGTAGCTAAGGTTACACCACACTAATAACCATACCCAAGACTGCTTGGGTGTTTACCTGTGGCCAGGCTCTCTTCCAAGTGTGATTTGTGTGTGTTAACTCACACCTCACAAACCTCCTAATGAAGGAGGGACAACAGTGATTCCCACGTTATAGAGGAGGGAACACAAGCACGGAGAGGTTAATCGACTTGTCAAGGTCACAGAGCTTGTCTTGGCAGAGCCAAGAATCGACCCCAGGCCATCTGATGTCAGGGCCCATGCTCTAACCCCCAGGTTGCAGCTGCCTCACAAGCTGATAAATGACAGAGCAGGATCCAAGCCCCAGGCAGCCTGGTTCCAGAGCTCATGCCCTCTCCAGTACCCAAGGCCAGGGACTGAGGAGAGAGGCTCAGGCCAGGGCACCACCTAGGGCTTCATGGGCTGTGGTTGTCATATTCTTCAAGCTCCACTCAGACCTCAGAGGAGGATCTGCAGCCGAGGAGGCCCAAAGGGGAGGCCTGCACCCAGAACTGGTCCTGCAGTGCCCTCAGGGCAGGGATCATGCCTGCATCTGCAGAGAGTGTGAGCTTACACAGACATGTGGGCTGCAGTCAGCAAGACCAGAATCCTCCTAGTGCCTTGTTAAAATACAGATTCAGGCCGGGTGCAGGGGCTCACACCTGTAATTCCAGCACTTTGGGAGGCCGAGGTGGGTGGATCATGAGGTCAGGAGTTCAAGACCAGCCTGGCCAAGATGGTGAAACCCCATCTCTACTAAAACTACAAAAATTAGCCGGGCATAGTGGCAGACACCTGTAATTCCAGCTACTCGGGAGACTGAGGCAGGAGAATAGCTTGAACCTGGGTGGCAGAGGTTGCAGTGAGCCGAGATCATGCCACTGCACTCCAGCCTGGGCAACAGAGCAAGTGAGACTCCGTCTCAACAACAACAACAACAACAACAAAATACAGATTCCCCAGACTCATACCAGAGCGAGGAATCAGATTCTCCTGAGGTAGGGATCAGGAATTTGCATTTGGAAAGCCCTGCAGGTAATTCTGAAGAAAGAATCAGACTCCAGCTCATATGGTTTGGCTGTGTCCCCACCCAAATCTCATCTTGAATTATACATCCCATAATTCCCTCATGTCATGGAAGGGACTGGGTGGGAGATCATTGAATCATGAGGTCAGTTTCCCCCATACTGTTCTCGTGGTAGTGAGGAAGTCTCACGAGAGATGATGGTTTTATAAGGGGTTTCCCCTTTCTCTTGGCTCTCACTCTTCTCTTGTCTGCCACCATGTGAGACATGCCTTTCATCTTCTGCCATGATTGTGAGGTCTCATGTGGAACTGTGAGACCAGTAAACCTCTTTTTCCTTGTAAATTACCCAGCCTTAGGTATGTCTTTATCAGCAGCGTGAAAATGCACTAATACACAAGCTGTCATCTGGGAAGCAGTATCCAAAGTCCGACTTGGACAGTCTGAGGTGTCAGACACTAAAGGTAATGGAAACCATGACCATAACAACATAGTTCCCGTGTCCAGAATTTGGCCTGTCCTCCCATGTCCCTTCTCTTCTCAGTCCTCACAGTGACCCTTAAATGAAGGGACTCTTACAATCCCATTTTATAGATGAAGAAACTGAGACTCAGGGTCACCCAGCTGGGGAGTGCGGCCACTGGGATTCATACTAAGCCTGGCCCAGGTTTCTCTCTCCGTCCCTCTCTGCAGGAGGCCCAGAAGGCAGAGGATGAGGAAGGCAGTGGGGCTGGGTGGGGGGACTCCTGCAGGGGCTTCCACCCAGATAATTGCCTCTGCCAAAACTCAGGAAACAGCCTCTGCCTCAGCTTTTCTGTTCATTCCCAAGTGGTATTTTAAGTTTCAGAAAGACCTAATAGCCTAGAAGAAGATTTGTACATGAAGAAGCATCTTTTCCTCAAGGTTATTGTAAGCACAGTTGAGGGAGCAGGAGAGATTTATGAGAAATTCTGCTGGGTCTGAAATAAACACAAACAGCTCGGGCTAAAAAAAAGGCACACTCACAGGAGATGCTGGCCAGATATCCTCTGGGCACAGGACCTTGGAAGGTGCCCAGGCCTCCCCTCTCCATCCAGCAGGGACCTAGACCCCCTCCAATTACACACCTCGAGCAGTGAAATCATCATTACCCAATGGGCAGTTCACTCCATTAGTCCAAACTAATAAAGAGAAGGTGCTGATCCTCTGATAATTTCTCTTCATCAAGGAAATGGGGTGGGGCAAGGAACAAGCCACAGAATTTGGAACCATCCATCCCAGCACCCCATGAATTGTGTGACAAGTGACTTGAAGCAAGGTACCTTGCTGGGCCTCAGGTTCACTTCTTTGTAAAGTAAACAAGGACCGGGCGCGGTGGCTCATGCCTGTAATCCCAGCACTTTGGGAGGCCGAGGCAGGCAGATCACGAGGTCAGGAGTTTGAGACCAGCCTGGCCAACATGGTGAAACCCCGTCTCTACTAAAGATAAAAAAAATTAGCAGGGCATTGTGGCGGGCACCTGGAATCCCAGCTACTCGGGAGGCTGAGGCAGGAGAATCGCTTGAAACCGGAAGGCAGATGTTGCAGTGAGCCGGGATCGCACCATTGCCCTCCAGCCTGGGTGACAGGGAGAGACTCTGTCTCAAAAAAAATAAATAAGGTAAGTAAACAAGGATTGGTGAGAAGATGAAGGGAGGCAGCACATATAAAGGGTGCAGGATGGTGTCTGGCACATAGTAGGTGCTCAATTAATGTTAGTCCCTTTCCACCAGCCTGAGGGGACTGTGTAGATATTTATGCCCTGTCCGTGGAATGGTGACTGATGTAGGGTTGATTGACCAGGGGTGTATAATGTGTATGTGAGCTCATGTGAGCGTGCATGAGTGTGTATGTGTGTGAGTGTATATAAATGTGTGTGTGTGAGAGAGATAGTGTGTGTAGGGGGTGGAAAGGTATAATACAGCTATACCCCTATAACAAAAGACAGGTTAACAAGAGAAAAGCATAGCATATTTATTTAATCAAAGTTTTACATAACATAGGAGCCTTTGGAAATGAAGACCCCACCACCCAGGGGAAATGGTCTATTTTTATGCCTAGGATAGTTGAAGACGGGCAGTTGTGTAGAAACATGATTGAACAAAAGGATGTGATGCAATGGGAATAGACTGAGTGGGGGAAACCCAGCAAGTCCTGTCTGTTCAGATTCCTCTCGGGGCCGGGTGTGGTGGCTCAGGCCTATAATCCCAACACTTTGGGAAGCCAAGGATCACCTGAGGTCAGGAGTTCGAGACCAGCCTGGTCAACATGGTGAAACCCCTGTATCTACTAAAAAAAAAAAAAAAAAATTAGCCAGGCCTATAATCTCAGCTACTCAGGAGGCTGAGGTAGGAGAATTGCTTGAACCCAGGAGGTGGAGGTTTCAGTGAGCCGAGATTGTGCCACTGCACTCCAGCCTGGGAGACAGAGCAAAACTGCATCTCAAAAAGAGAGAGAGAGAGAGAGAGGGATTCCTCTCAGCTTCTCTGTGTAGGTTGGCTTCCCCTATACCCTGGGTATGAGCAGGGCCCCTCTGGAAGGAAGGTCTTCAAGAGAGAAGACCTATGTTTTATGTCTTGCTTTGTGGGAGAGGAGTTCTAGGTTTTATGACCCACCTTGGGGAAGAAGAATTCTGGTTCCTATGACTCAGACTCACTCTGCAGGAGAAAGAAGGGCAGGAGACAGGCAGATAGGAGAAGGTCAGAAAGAATCTGCTTTCAAGACCTTCTGATCTCCTTTAATTCAAAGTACCTAGCATGCCAAAGCACCATACTTTGGAGTGTCATGTTCTGAGCCCCAGAGTGTACTGTGTGTGGGGTGGGTGTGTGCATGACTGTTTATGTTGTGTATGCATAAGCTGTATTTGAGATCTGAGGATGAGGCTTGGAGCAAAGAGATGAAGTGGTGGATGGTGATATGGGGAAGTTAGTCAGAGGTCTGCTCAGAGAAGACTGGGTGCTGTGCAATCCCTGGGGAAATCTTTTTCATGACTGTTTTAGTAAGTAATAAAGGGCATTTTTTCCTGAACTTATAGTAAAGTTAACATCCAAGAAGGTGTCCCCATCTGACACTTTAATTCCTTGTCTCCTTGGGGAATACACAGCAGCGAGCCATGGAGCAGGCACGGAGCATCTTCCCAGAGTGTCATCTTTCTCCAAGATCAGAGAAATGCCCATTACTTAATATTTAAAACACCATGGATAAATCATAGAGAGGAAAATGTGCATAGATTTGAAGTACTAAATTAGAAAGCTCCAAGAAGAAGTGTGCCAGTGGCTGGTTGCTTCAGCTCCTGCCTCTAGGCACCCTGGGGATATAGAAGCCCTACCTTGATATAAGGGGTGCATAGTGGATGCCTTTTGGAATCCTTGAATTTCAGGAAATGAGTGTCAGAGAAGGACACAGAGCAGGGCCACCACTTGCTCTTATTGGGGTTTTAGAAAACTGTCTCTGCAGAGCAGCTAGAGGTGGGGGAGCATAGAGGCCTGTGAGGAACGTTTGAAATAATACAGGTGAGGGGTGAGCGGAGGCTTGGAGCAGGACAGGGCAAAGGGAAAAGAGAAGAGGAAACTGGAAAGATATGTGGGAAAATTGCTCTTCGACTCTGGACTTGGGAGTGGAAAAATGTAGGACATGGGGAGGGAAGAATCCAGTCTGACTGGGGATTTAACCCTGGGTTCTCACTTGAGTGGTCTCAGAATCACAGGAAGAGAGGCAAGTGTCCATTCTGCAGGTAGGGGTAACAAAAGGGTGGAAGGCCCCAATTGTTGTAAGCCACCAATCCTTTATTCAACTAGGACAACTACATTGTTCAAATAGAAAGGGAAACACTATCCAATTCATTCTGTGGGGCCAGTATTTTTCTAATACAAAAACTAGAAAAAGAGCTAATATGTAAATAAAACTGTAGAATAATATTCTTTACAAATATAAATGCAAAAATCCTCACCAAAACACTAATAAGCTGAATGTGAATAAGATTACACACCATAAGCAAGTAGGATTTATCCAGAATGCAAATTCGGCTTAATATATGAAAAGCAGGGTGATGTCACCAAAATGGCAGAGTAGAAGCAATCTGGCTTCATTCTCCTCCACAGAAAACCAAATATATATATATATCCAGTGCAAAGATTGCAACCAGCAATGTCCCAAAACTCAAATATGAGACTGAGACAATCCCTGGGACCACAGAAAGATTAAAAATTCTGAGCAGATGGTAAAAGAAATGGACTTCTGTATCCACAACACCTCTCCCTCAATCTGCCAGGCATCGTGTATGGAAAATTCCTCCTGTACTCACAGTTTTTACACTGGAAAAAGTGAGATCAAGATAAACAGCCAGCTTTCCTGCCATCTTGGCTTCCCTTTCAGAAAAGCCATTCTTGCCACAACCCATGGGAAGCATCACAAGTGCCTGTAGGGAGAAAAACCACTGGGGGCAGCCAGAAACAAAGGCAGGAGGCAAAACCAGCAACCCCACCTGAAAAACTCTGCTCTTTATCTCAGCCAAAGGAAAAGTCAAATCATAGTGGCTGTTCAGCAGCACCACATTGTAGGAGACAGGCTTCATGGGTCTTCTGGGCATGAACCAGCTTTCCCATCTAGCTGGGGCATCCCCTTTTGGATCATCCTTCCCAAACAACTGGATATCCCCTCTGGGACACCCTTCCCCCAATTTAGGATAGGTTGCGCTCTGAATATTTGCAAGAGCTGAGGCAATTCTGAGTGTAAGGCACCATCTAGTGCCAAAAAGGAGGAAGAGATAAAAGATTAAGGGACGTTGGGAGGCAATTGCAGAGAACATCTAAGCAAACATACTCTATACCCCACAAAGACAAAAACAAACCAAACAGCAAAGACTGGAATAAATAACTAATCCTTCAATGCAGTCATAGGTGTAGTCCACAAGAAACAACACAGCAAACAGGTCATAGTTATGACCTCCCCAAGTGGACAAAGCAAGGAGCCAGTAACCAACCCTAACAAGATAGTAATGTGTGAGGTCTCAGATGGAGAATTCAAAATACAGTTCTAAGGAAACTCAGTGAACTTCAAGATAACACAGAAAAGTAGTTGAGGAATTTTATCAGAGAAATTTAACAAAGAGATTGAAATAATATATATATATAAAAACAGAAATCCTAGAACTGAGAAATACACTTGCTGACCTGAAAAATTCATTAAAGGCTCTCAACAGCAGAATTGATCAAGCAGAAGAAAGAATCAGTGAGCTCAAAGACAGGTTATTTGAAAATACAGTGTAAGAAGAGGAAAAAGAAAAATAAATTTAAATAGAACTAAGGAAGCCTACAAAATAGAGAAAATAACCTCAAAAGAGCAAATTTAAGAGTAATTAGCACGGAAGAGGGAGTTGAAGAAGAGCAACAGGTAGAAAACTTATTCAAAGAAATAATTTTAAAAACTTTCCAAACCTAGAGAAAGATATAAATATCCAGGTATATGGAGGTCAGAGATTACCAAATTGATTTAATCCAAATAAGACCACCCCCAAGGCATATAACAATCAAACTCTCAAAGGTCACGGACAAAGAGAGGATTCTAAAAGCAGCAAGGTAAAAGAATCAAATAACGTAAAGGAGAGGAGCTCCGTTGTGTCTGGCAACAGACTTTTCGGCAGAAACCATACAGGTCAGAAAGGAGTGGTATGATATATTTAAGGCACTGAAGGAAAAAAAACCTGTCAACTGAAAATGTTGTGCCCAGCAAAGCTTTCCCTTATACATGAAAGAGAAATAAAGTATTTTTCAGATAAACAAAAGTTGAGGGAATTCATTACCACTAGACTCATCTTACAAGAATTCTAAAGCGAGTTCTTCAAACTGAAAGAAAAAGACACTAATGAGCAAGAAGAAAATATTTGAAGGTATAAAATTCACTGGGAAAAGTAAATACACAGACAAATTCAGAATAATCTAATACTGTAGTTGTGGTGTATAATTTCCTCACATCTCTAGTATAAAGACTAAAAGACAAATTTATCAAAAGTAATTACAACTATGGCAACTTAAGAGGCAATATGAAAAGATGTAAATTGAAACAAGAAAAAGCCAAAATGTGGGGAGATACAGTTAACATGTAGAGTTTTTTAGTTTTTCCTTTGTTTCTTTTCTTCTCTTTGTGATCAAAGCTAAGTTATCTTCTGTTTAAAGTAACTTGTTTTATTTATAAGATTTTTTTGTAAGCCCCATGGTAACCACAAAAGCATAAACCTATAATAGATACACTAAAAATAAAAAGCAATGAATTAAAACATACAACCAGGAACAAAAATCACCTAACCACAAAGGAAGACAGGAGTTATTATACAAAACAACCAAAAAACAAGTAACAAAAGGGCAATAGCAAGTCCTTACCTATCAATAATAACAATCAATGCAAATAGACTAAAATCTTCAATTAAAAGACATAGAACAGCTGAACGAATAAAAAAAATAAGACCCAACCATATGTTGCCTACAAAAAACTCACTTCACCTGTAAAGACACATGTAGACTGAAAGTAAAGGGATGGAAAAGATATTCTTTGCAACAGAAACCAAGAAAGACTAGATATAGCTACACTTACATCAGATGAAACAGACTTCAAGTCAATGGCTATAAAAAGACACAAAGTCACTATGAAATTATAAATACATCAATTTACAAAGAGGATATAACAATTGTAAATATAAATGTACCCAATCCCAAAGCACTTCAATATATAAAGTAAACATTAATAAATCTAAAGGGAGAGATAGACTTCAATATAATAATAGTAGAGGACTTCAACACCCCATTCTCAATAATGGACAGATCATCCAAACAGAAAATCAACAAAGAAACATCAGTTAAACTACACTCTAGACCAAATGGACCTAACTGACATTTACACAACATTTCATCTGACTGCTGTAGAATAGACAATCTTCTCATCAACATATGGCACATTTTCCAGGA
Source organism: Homo sapiens (assembly GCF_000001405.40). Classification (NCBI taxonomy): domain Eukaryota; kingdom Metazoa; phylum Chordata; class Mammalia; order Primates; family Hominidae; genus Homo; species Homo sapiens. Next base: position 82,977 of record NT_187514.1, read on the forward strand.
CAGACCATACATCAGACCACAAAACAAGTCTGAACATTCACAAAAGTAGAAATCATATCAAGTATCTTTTCTGACTATAGTGAAATAAACTAGAAATCAAGAACTAAAGAAATTTGGAAACTACACAAATACATGAAAATTAAACAACATGGTCCTGAATGATAAATGGGCCAATGAAGAAATAAAGAAGAAAATTTAAAAATTTTTGAAACAAATGAAAATGGAAACACAACATCTCAAAATCTATGGGATATAGCAAGAGCAGTACTAAGAGGGAAGTTTATAGCAATAAAAAAAGAAATAAAAAGTAGGATGATTTCAAATAAACACCCTAATGATGAACTTCAACAAACTAGAAAAGTGAGAACAAACCAAACCCAAAATTAATAGAAGGAAAGAAATAATAAAGATCCAAACAGAAATAAATTAAATTGAGACTAAACAAATACCAAAAGTTGGTTTTTTGAAAAGATAAACAAAATGTTTTTGAAAAGAAAAACATTTAGCTAGACTAAAAAAAGAGAAGACACAAATAAAACCAGAAATGAAAAGGGAAATTAACTGATACTATAGAAATACAAAGGATCACTGGAGACTAACATGAACAACTACAAGTTAAAAAATTGGAAAATCTGGAAGAAATGAATAAATTCCCAGATGCATACAACCTACCAAGATTAAACCTGAACAGACCAATAATGAGTAACAAGATCAAAGTAGTAATAAAATGTCTCTCATCAAAGAAAGCCCAGGACCTGATGGCTCCACTGCTGAACTCTACCAAATGTTTGAAGAAGAGCTAATACCAATTCTACTCAAACCATTCCAAAAAATTGAAGATGGAATATTTCCAAACCCATTCTACAAGGCTAACATTATCCTGATCCCAAAACTGGACAAGGATACAACAATAAAGAAAGCAGCAGACAAAAACATCTGATGAACAGAGATGCAAAAGTCCTCAAAAAATATTAGCAAACTGAGTTCAACAACTCATTAAAAAGATTATTTACCATGCTTAAGGGGATTCATCCTAGGGATGCAAGTATGGTTCAACATACACAAATCAACAAATGTGATACATCAGCTTAATAGAACAAAGGACACAAACGATACAATTATTTCAATAGATGCTGAAAAAGCAATTGACAAAATTCAACATCGCTTTATGACAAAAACTCTCAACAAACTGAATACAGAAGGAACATGCCTCAAAATAATAACTGCTGTATATGACATACCCACAGCTAACGTCATATGGAACAGGGAAAAATTGAAAGCCTTCCCTCTAAGTCTGGAACAAGACAATGATGCACACTTTCACTACTTTTACTCAACGTAGTAGTGGAAGTCCTAGGCAGATCAGCTAGGCAAGAGAAAGAAATAAAGGGCATCCAAATTGGAAAGGAAGAAGTCAACTTATTCTTGTTCACAGATGACATGATATTATATTTAGTAAAATCCTAAAGATTCCACCAAAAAACTGTTAGAAGTGATAAATCAAGTAAAGTTACAAGATAAAAAATTGACATACAAAAATTAGTAGCATTTATGTATGCCAACAGTGAAAAATCTGAAAAAAAAATCATGAAAGCAATTCCATCTACAATAGCTACAAAAAATGTAAAATACCTAGAACTAAATTTAACAAAGAAGTGAAAGATCTTTACAAGGAAAACTAAAAAACACTGATGAAAGAAATTCATTATTGAGGATGAAAAACATGAAAAGTTATCCCATGCTCATGGATTGAAAGAATTAATTGTTAAAATGTCAATACTATTCAAAGTGATCTACAAACTCATTGCAATCACTACCAAAATACCAATAACATTCTTCACAGAAATAGAAAAAAATTACTAAAATTTGTAAAGGACCACAAAAGACTCCAAATAACCAAAGCAATCGTAAGAAAAAGAACAAAGCTGGAGGCATCACCTACCTGACTTCCAAATATACTACAAAGCCATAGTAACCTAAACAGCATGGTACTGGCAGGAAATCAGACACATAAGACTGATGGAACAGAATAGAGAACCCAGATATAAGTCCATGAATTTATAGCCAACTCATTTCTGACAAAGGGATCAAGAACATACTAGAGGAAAGGACAGTCTTTTCAATAAATGGTGCTAGGAAAACTAGATAAGCAGAATGAATCTAGACCCCTACCTCTCACCACATACAAAAATCAGATCAAAATGGATTAAAGACTTAAATCTAAGACCTGAAACTATGAAATTATGAGAGGAAAACACTGGGGAAATACTTTAGGAAAATTTGGGCAAGTTTTTTTGGGTAAGACCTTAAAAACACAGGCAACAAAAGCAAAAATAAACAAATGGGATTCCTTCAGGCTAAAAAGCTTATATACAGCAAAGGGAACAATTGACAAAGTGAAGAGACAACCTACAGAGTAGGAGAAGATATTTGCAAACTGTCCATCCAACAAGGGGCTAATAACCAGAATACATAAGGAACTCAAACAACTCAACAGAAAAAATAAACGCGATTTTAAAATGGGCAAAAGATGTAAATAGAGATTTCTCAAAAAAAGACATACAAATGGCCAACAGACATATGAAAAAGAAATGGTCAACATTGCTAATCGTCAGGGAAATGCAAATCAAAACCACAGTGAAATATCATCTCACCCCAGTTAAAATGATTTTTATCAAAAAGACAACAAATAACAGATGCTGGTGAGGATTCAGAGAAAGGGGAATGTTTGTACACTATTGCTGGGAATGTAAATTAGTATAGCCACTATGGAAAACAGTATAGAGGTTCCTTTAAAAACTAAAAATAGAACTACCATGTAATACACATAATCCCACTGCTGGGTGTTTATCCAAAAGAAAGGAAATGGATATATCAAACAGATACCTGCACTCTTGTGTTTATTGAAGTACTATTCACAGTAGTCAAGATATGAAATAAACCTAAATATCTATCACTGGATGAACAGATAAGGAAAATGTCTTACATATACACAAAGGAATATTATTCAGCCATAAAAAGAATGAAATCCTGTCATTTTCAGCAACATGGATGGAATTGAAGGCCATTAATGTTAAGTGAAGTTAGCCAGGTGCAAAGACAAATACAGCTTGTTCTAACTCACATGCAGTGAGAGCAAATAAGTGGTTCTCATGGAGATAAAGAGTTGATTGGTGGTTACCAGTGGCTGGGGAGAGTAAGTGGGGTGGAGAGAAAAAACAGAGGATCGGTTAATGGGTATGAAAATGGAGTTCAATAGAAGGAATAAGATCTGGTGTTCTATAGCACAGTGGGGCAACTATAGTTAACAATAATTTGTTGTATAGTTCAAAATTGCTGAAGAAGAGAAATTAGAATGTTCCTAACATAAAGAAGGGGTGAATGTTTGGGGTGATGAATGTCCCCATTGCCCTGGCTCAATCATTACACATTGTAGGTGTGTATCAAAATACCACATATATCCCCAAAATATGTACAACTATTATGTATCACCAAAATGTATGTGTGTGTGTGTGTGTGTGTCCAAGAGAAACCTAAGTATAGATCACCACTAATTTTAATGTGGCATCCTGAATGAGATCCAAGGACATTAGGTAAAAACTAAGGAAATCTGAATAAAGTATGAATTGGTTAGCAATAATGTATCAATCGTGGTCTATTAAGTGTAAGAAATGTATCGTACTATTCTAAAATATTAATAACAGGAGAAAGTGGGTATAGGGTTTAATGGGAACTCTCTATACTACCTTTGAAATTTTTTCCTATAAGTCTAAAACTGTTCCAACAATAAAATTCATTAAAATTTTTTAAATGAAAAAATAAATTAAAATGGACAGATAACATTGTAAAAGAAAATCAATCAATGGGATATATCAATTAGTAGAATAAAGGGCAAAAGCTGCATTAACATCTCAATAAATGCACAAAAAGCATTTGTCAAAATCTACCACACTTTCATAACCAAAAAAATCAATAAGCAAGGAAATGATGGAAATTTTCTCAATCTGACAAAGGTCATCTACAAAAACCTCAGTTAACATAATATGTAGTGGTGAAAGACTGAATGCTTTCCCTTGAGATCAGAAGCAAGCCTAGATATCTACCCTCGCTACTTCTGTTCAACATTGTACTGGAGGTTCTAGGCAGGGAAATTAGGCAAGAAAAAGAAATAAAAAGCATCCAAATGGAAATGGAAAAAATTAAAACTATCTCTATCTGCAGATTAGATAATTTTTATATAGAAAACCCTAAGGAATCTATCAAAAATCATTGGCTCTAACAAGCGAGTTCAGCAAAGTTGAAGGAATACAAGATCAATACACAACAATCAAGTGTGTTTCTATATGCTAGCAATGAACAATCTGAAATGAAATTAGAAAACAATTCTATTTGCAGTAGCATCAAACAGAATAAAATACTTAAGAATAAATTTAACAAAAGCAGTGCAAAATCTATACTCTGAAACCTACAAAACATTTTGAAATAAATTGAGGAAAATCTAAATAAAGGGAAAGTTTATGGATCAGAAGACTTAATATTGTTAAGATGGCAATATACTGCAAGTTGATTTACAGATTCAGTGGAATCCTTATCACAATCCAGCTGCGATTTTTTGCAGAAATTGACAAGCTTATTCTAAAATTCATAAGGAAACTCAAAAGATCCAGAATACCCAAAACAATGTCAAAAAAAGAAGACCAAAGTTGAAAGACTCATACTACAAAGCTACAGAAATCAAAATACTGTGGTTATTTGCACAAGGATAAAGATAGATCAATGGAATAGAATTGACAGTCAAAATATAAACCATTACCCTTATGTCCAGTGAATTTTCAACAAGGATGCCAAGACAATACAATGAGACACAGAATACTCTTTTCAACAAATAGTGCTGGAACAATTAGGTATCCATACACAAAAGAATGAAGTTGTACCCCTATTTCACACCATACACAAAAAAATACTCAAAATATATCATAGGCCTCCATGTAAAAGTTAAAGCTATAAAACTCTTATAAGTAAACATAGGCATAAATCATCATGACCCTGGATTAGGCAGTAGTTTTTAGATATGACCCTAAAGCACAGCAAAAAAAGAAAAAGTAGATAAATTGGGATTCATCAAAATTAAGAACATTTGTGCCTCAAAGGACATCATCAAGAAAGTGAAAATACAACCCACAGAATAGGATAAAATTTGTGCAAATCATATATCTGATAGGTAACTGAAATAAATATAGAATATATAAAGAAATCTCACAACTCAACAATAAGTAGACAAGCCACCCAATCTATAAAAGGGCAAAGGATATGAATAGGCATTTCTCCAAAGAATATACACAAATGGCCAATAAGCACATGAAAAGATGCTCAACATCATTACTCATTAAAGCTATGCAAATCAAAACCACAGTGAGATACTACTTCATCCCTACTAGGATGGCTATAGCAAAAAGCTAGACAGCAACAGTAGTTGGTGAGGATGTGGAGAAATTGAAACTCTCATACACTGTTGGCCAGAATACAAAACGGTGCAGCCACTGTGGAAAACAGTTTAGCAGTTCCTCAAAAAGTTAAGCATAGAGTTACCACATGACCCAACAGCTCACTCCTCAGTGTATGCCCAGGAGAAATGGAAACTTCCCTTCCATTCAGGAGCCGCAGTCCACAGGACAAGCTGGGCTGGAGGGAGAGGAGAGCTGGAAGAACAAGAATGGGACAATTATTCCTGTGTGGGTCTCAAGGTGCCACGAAAAGGATTTTTCATGACTTTCGGACTTTAATACCCTGAGAGGCCTCTTATGGTTTCTGTGTGTGTGTGTGTGTGTGTGTGTGTGTGTGTGTGTGTGTGTGTCTGCTTCCTTGTGCGTGTGAGTCACTAATTATGTACAAAATAAGCCGTGACATGTGATGATACAGCCCTCATATAAAAGTATCTTCTCATAGCTCAGTAACTTAGGAGGCAAAGTCTAAAACAAATATTCAGCAGGCATTTTTTTCCAATTAAAAAATAAAAAATTATTAAAAACACCTCTGAGTCCCCTGTCTTCCCATAGTCCTTTAGCTACTTCAAGGAGGAGTAAGCTAAGAGGGGCAAGCTCTGGCAGTTTGGGGTGAGAGGACCTGTCTCGGTGGAGAAATGACAGTCATTTGCTCACGGCTTTTGATATGGTTTAGCTGTTTCCCCACTGAAATCTCAACTTGAATTATATTTCCCAGAATTCTCTTGTGTTGTGGGAGGGACCAATGGGGAGGTAGTTGAATCATGGGGGCCAGTCTTTTCCATGCTATTCTCATAATAGTGAATAAATCTCACGAGATCTGATGGGTTTATCAGGGATTTCCACTTTTGCTTCTTCCTCATTTTCTCTTGCCACCACCATGTAAGAAGTGCTTTTTGCCTTCCACCATGATTCTGAGGCCTCTCCAGCCCTGTGGAACTGTGAGTCCAATTAAACCTTTTTTTCTTCCCAGTCTCCAGTATGTCTTTATCAGAAGTGTGAAAACAGACAAATACAGTAAATTGGTACCAGTAGAGTGCAGCGTTGCTGAAGACATATTCAAAAATATGGAAGCGACTTTGGAACTGGGTAACAGGCAGAGGTTGGAAGAGTTGGAAGGGTTCAGAAGAAGACAGGAAAATATGGGAAAGTTTGGAACTTCCTAGAGACTTGTCAAATGTCTTTTCCCAAAATGCTGATAGTGATATGGACAATAAAATTCAGGCTGAAGTGGTCTCAGAAGGAGATGAAAAAGTTGTTGGGAACTGAAGCAAAGGTGACTCTTGTTATGTTTTAACAAAGAGACTGGCTGCATTTTGCCCCTGCCCTAGAGATTTGTGGAACTTTGAACCAGACAGAGATGATTTAGGGTATCTGACAGAAGAAATTTCTAAGCAGCAAAGTATTCAAGAGGTAACTTAGGTGCTGTTAAAGGCATTCAGTCTTATAAGGGAAGCAGAGCAAAAAAGTTTGGAATATTTGTAGCCTGACTATGAGATAGAAAAGAAAATTCCATTTTCTGGGGAGAAATTCAAGCCAGCTGCAGAAATTAGTATAAGTAGCAAGGAGCCTAATGTTAATCCCCCAAGACCATGGGGAAAATGTCTCCAGGCCATGTCAGAGAACTTCCCAGCAGCCCCTCCCATCACAGGCTTGGAGGCCCAGGAGGAAAAAGTGTTTTCGTGGGCCAGGTGCAGAGTCCCCGAGCTGTGTGTAACCTAGGAACTTGGTACCATGTGTCCCAGTGGCTCCAGCCGTGGCTGAAAGGGGCCAATGTACAGCTCAGGCTATGGCTTCAGAGAGTGAGAGCCCCAAGCCTTGGAAGCTTCTATATGGTGCTGAGCCTGTGGATGCATAGCAGCCAAGAATTGAGGTGTGGGAAACTCCGCCTAGATTTCAGAAGATACATGGAAACACCTCGAAGCCCAGGCAAAATTTTGTTACAGGGGTGGGACCCTCATGAAGAACCTCTGCTAGGGCAGTACAGAAAGGAAATGTGGGGTCAGAGCCCCCAAACAGAGTCCCTACTGGGGCACCACCTAGTGGAACTGTGAGAAGAGGGCCACCATCCTCCAGACCCCAGAATAGTAGATCCACCAACAGCTTGCACCATGCACCTGGAAAAGCCACAGACACTCAATGCCAGCCTGTGAAAGCAGCCAGGAGGGAGTAAGTCACAGGGGTGGAGCTGCCCAAGACTGTGGGAACCCACCTCTTGCATCAGCATAACCTGGGTGTGAAACATGGAGTCAAAGGAGATCATTTTGGAGCTTTAAAGTTTGACTGCCCCACTAGGTTTTGGATTTGCATGGGCCCTGTAACCCCTTTATTTTGGCCAATTTCTTCCATTTGGAAGAGCTGTATTTACCCAATACCTGTACCCCCATTGTATCTAGGAAGTAACTAGCTTGCTTTTGATTTTACAGGCTCATAGGTGGAAGGGACTTGCTTGTCTCAGATGAGACTTTGGGCTGTGGACTTTTGGGTTAATGCTAAAATGAGTTAAGACTTTGGGGGACTGTTGGGAAGACATGATTGGTTTTGAAATGTGAGGACATGAGATTTGGAGGGGCCAGGGCAGGAATGATATGGTTTGGTTGTGTCTCCATCCAAATCTCAACTTGAGTTGTATCTCCCAGAATTCCCACATGTTGTAGGAGGGACCCAGGGGGAGGTAATTGAATCATGGGGGCCAGTCTTTCCTGTGCTATTCTCGTGATAGTGAATAAGACTCACAAGATCAGATGAGTTTATCAGGGGTTTCCACTTTTGCTTCTTTCTCATTTTCTCTTGCCACCACCATGTAAGAAGTGCTTTTCGCTGAGAGGAGCCAAGATGGCCGAATAGGAACAGCTCCGGTCTACAGCTCCCAGCATGAGCGACGCAGAAGACGGGTGATTTCTGCATTTCCATCTGAGGTACCGGGTTCATCTCACTAGGGAGTCTGAGATCAAACTGCAAGGCAGCAGCGAGGCTGGGGGAGGGGTGCCTGCCACTGCCCAGGCTTGATTAGGCAAACAAAGCAGCCGGGAAGCTCAAACTGGGTGGAGCCCACCACAGCTCAAGGAGGCCTGCCTGCCTCTGTAGGCTCCACCTCTGGGGGCAGGGCACAGACAAACAAAAAGACAGCAGTAACCTCTGCAGACTTAAATGTCCCTGTCTGACAGCTTTGAAGAGAGCAGTGGTTCTCCCAGCACGCAGCTGGAGATCTGAGAACGGGCAGACTGCCTCCTCAAGTGGGTCCCTGACCCCTGACCCCCGAGCAGCCTAACTGGGAGGCACCCCCCAGCAGGGGCACACTGACACCTCACACAGCAGGGTACTCCAACAGACCTGCAGCTGAGGGTCCTCTCTGTTAGAAGGAAAACTAACACAGAAAGGACATCCACACCAAAAACCCATCTGTACATCACCATCATCAAAGACCAAAAGTAGATAAACCCACAAAGATGTGGAAAAAACAGAACAGAAAAACTGGAAACTCTAAAAAGCAGAGCGCCTCTCCTCCTCCAAAGGAACACAGTTCCTCACCAGCAACGGAACAAAGCTGGATGGAGAATGACTTTGATGAGCTGAGAGAAGAAGGCTTCAGACAATCAAATTACTCTGAGCTACGGGAGGACATTCAAACCAAAGGCAAAGAAGTTGAAAACTTTGAAAAAAATTTAGAAGAATGTATAACTAGAATAACCAATACAGAGAAGTGCTTAAAGGAGCTGATGGAGCTGAAAACCAAGGCTCGAGAACTACGTGAAGAATGCAGAAGCCTCAGGAGCCGATGCGATCAACTGGAAGAAAGGGTATCAGCGATGGAAGATGAAATGAATGAAATGAAGCGAGAAGGGAAGTCTAGAGAAAAAAGAATAAAAAGAAATGAGCAAAGCCTCCAAGAAATATGGGACTATGTGAAAAGACCAAATCTACGTCTGATTGGTGTACCTGAAAGTGATGGGGAGAATGGAACCAAGTTGGAAAACACTCTGCAGGATATTATCCAGGAGAACTTCCCCAATCTAGCAAGGCAGGCCAACGTTCAGATTCAGGAAATACAGAGAACGCCACAAAGATACTCCTCGAGAAGAGCAACTCCAAGACACATAATTGTCAGATTCACCAAAGTTGAAATGAAGGAAAAAATGTTAAGGGCAGCCAGAGAGAAAGGTCGGGTTACCCTCAAAGGGAAGCCCATCAGACCAACAGCGGATCTCTCGGCAGAAACCCTACAAGCCAGAAGAGAGTGGGGGTCAATATTCAACATTCTTAAAAAAAAGAATTTTCAACCCAGAATTTCATATCCAGCCAAACTAAGCTTCATAAGTGAAGGAGAAATAAAATACTTTACAGACAAGCAAATGCTGAGAGATTTTGTCACCACCAGGCCTGCCTTACAAGAGCTCCTGAAGGAAGAACTAAACATGGAAAGGAACAACCGGTACCAGCCACTGCAAAATCATGCCAAAATGTAAAGACCATCAAGGCTAGGAAGAAACTGCATCAACTAACGAGCAAAATAACCAGCTAACATCATAATGACAGGATCGAATTCACACATAACAATATTAACTTTAAATGTAAATGGACTAAATGCTCCAATTAAAAGACACAGACTAGCAAATTGGATAAAGAGTCAAGACCCATCAGTGTGCTGTATTCAGGAAACCCATCTCACATGCAGAGACACACATAGGCTCAAAATAAAGGGATGGAGGAAGATCTACCAAGCAAACGGAAAACAAAAAAAGGCAGGGGTTGCAATCCTAGTCTCTGATAAAACAGACTTTAAACCAACAAAGATCAAAAGAGACAAAGAAGGCCATTACATAATGGTAAAGGGATCAATTCAACAAGAAGAGCTAACTATCCTAAATATATATGCACCCAATACAGGAGCACCAAGATTCATAAAGCAAGTCCTGAGTGACCTACAAAGAGACTTAGACTCCCACACATTAATAATGGGAGACTTTAACACCCCACTGTCAACATTAGACAGATCAACGAGACAGAAAGTCAACAAGGATACCCAGGAATTGAACTCAGCTCTGCAGCAAGCGGACCTAATAGACATCTACAGAACTCTCCACCCCAAATCAACAGAATATACATTTTTTTCAGCACCACACCACACCTACTCCAAAATTGACCACATACTGGGAAGTAAAGCACTCCTCAGCAAATGTAAAAGAACAGAAATTATAACAAACTATCTCTCAGACCACAGTGCAATCAAACTAGAACTCAGGATTAAGAATCTCACTCAAAACCGCTCAACTACATGGAAACTGAACAACCTGCTCCTGAATGACTACTGGGTACATAACGAAATGAAGGCAGAAATAAAGTTGTTCTTTGAAACCAATGAGAACAAAGACACAACATACCAGAATCTCTGGGATGCATTCAAAGCAGTGTGCAGAGGGAAATTTATAGCACTGAATGCCCACAAGAGAAAGCAGGAAAGATCCAAAATTGACACCCTAACATCACAATTAAAAGAACTAGAAAAGCAAGAGCAAACACATTCAAAAGCTAGCAGAAGGGAAGAAATAACTAAAATCAGAGCAGAACTGAAGGAAATAGAGACACAAAAAACCCTTCAAAAAATTAATGAATCCAGGAGCTGGTTTTTTGAAAGGATAAACAAAATTGATAGACCGCTAGCAAGACTAATAAAGAAAAAAAGAGAGAAGAATCAAATAGATGCAATAAAAAAATGATAAAGGGGATATCACCACCAATCCCACAGAAATACAAACTACCATCAGAGAATACTACAAACACCTCTACGCAAATAAACTAGAAAATCTAGAAGAAATGGATAAATTCCTGGACACATACACTCTCCCAAGACTAAACCAGGAAGAAGTTGAATCTCTGAATAGACCAATAACAGGAGCTGAAATTGTGGCAATAATCAATAGCTTACCAACCAAAAAGAGTCCAGGACCAGATGGATTCACAGCCGAATTCTACCAGAGGTACAAGGAGGAACTGGTACCATTCCTTCTGAAACTATTCCAATCAATAGAAAAAGAGGGAATCCTCCCTAACTCATTTTATGACGCCAGCATCATTCTGATACCAAAGCCAGGCAGAGACACAACAAAAAAAGAGAATTTTAGACCAATATCCTTGATGAACATTGAGGCAAAAATCCTCAATAAAACACTGGCAAAATGAATCCAGCAGCACATCAAAAAGCTTATCCACCATGATCAAGTGGGCTTCATCCCTGGGATGCAAGGCTGGTTCAATATACGCAAATCAATAAATGTAATCCAGCATAAAAACAGAGCCAAAGACAAAAACCACATGATTATCTCAATAGATGCAGAAAAAGCCTTTGACAAAATTCAACAACCCTTCATGCTAAAAACTCTCAATAAATTAGGTATTGATGGGACGTATTTCAAAATAATAAGAGCTATCTATGACAAACCCACAGCCAATATCATACTGAATGGGCAAAAACTGGAAGCATTCTCTTTGAAAACTGGCACAAGACAGGGATGCCCTCTCTCACCACTCCTATTCAACATAGTGTTGGAAGTTCTGGCCAGGGCAATTAGGCAGGAGAAGGAAATAAAGGGTATTCAATTAGGAAAAGAGGAAGTCAAATTGTCCCTGTTTGCAGACGACATGATTGTATATCTAGAAAACCCCATTGTCTCAGCCCAAAATCTCCTTAAGCTGATAAGCAACTTCAGCAAAGTCTCAGGATACAAAATCAATGTACAAAAATCACAAGCATTCTTATACACCAACAACAGACAAACAGAGAGCCAAATCATGAGTGAACTCCCATTCACAATTGCTTCAAAGAGAATAAAATACCTAGGAATCCAACTTACAAGGGATGTGAAGGGCCTCTTCAAGGAGAACTACAAACCTCTGCTCAAGGAAATAAAAGAGGATACAAACAAATGGAAGAACATTCCATGCTCATGGGTAGGAAGAATCAATATCGTGAAAATGGCCATACTCCTCAAGGTAATTTACAGATTCAATGCCATCCCCATCAAGCTACCAATGACTTTCTTCACAGAACTGGAAAAAACTACTTTAAAGTTCATATGGAACCAAAAGAGAGCCCACATCGCCAAGTCAATCCTAAGCCAAAAGAACAAAGCTGGAGGCATCACACTACCTGACTTCAAACTATACTACAAGGCTACAGTAACCAAAACAGCATGGTACTGGTACCAAAACAGAGATATTGATCAATGGAACAGAACAGGGCCCTCAGAAATAACGCCGCATATCTACAACTATCTGATCTTTGACAAACCTGACAAAAACAAGCAATGGGGAAAGGATTCCCTATTTAATAAATGGTGCTGGGAAAACTGGCTAGCCATATGTAGAAAGCTGAAACTGGATCCCTTCCTTACACCTTATACAAAAATCAATTCAAGATGGATTAAAGAGTTAAACGTTAGACCTAAAACCATAAAAACCCTAGAAGAAAACGTAGGCATTACCATTCAGGACATAGGCATGGGCAAGGACTTCATGTCTAAAACACCAAAAGCAATGGCAACAAAAGACAAAATTGACAAATGGGATCTAATTAAACTAAAGAGCTTCTGCACAGCAAAAGAAACTACCATCAGAGTGAACAGGCAACCTACAAAATGGGAGAAAATTTTTGCAACCTACTCATCTGACAAAGGGCTAATATCCAGAATCTACAATGAACTCAAACAAATTTACAAGAAAAAAACAAACAACCCCATCAAAAAGTGGGTGAAGGACATGAACAGACACTTCTCAAAAGAAGACATTTATGCAGCCAACAGACACATGAAAAAATGCTCATCATCACTGGCCATCAGAGAAATGCAAATCAAAACCACAATGAGATACCATCTCACACCAGTTAGAATGGCGATCATTAAAAAGTCAGGAAACAACAGGTGCTGGAGAGGATGTGGAGAAATAGGAACATTTTTACACTGTTGGTGGGACTGTAAACTAGTTCAACCATTGTGGAAGTCAGTGTGGCGATTCCTCAGGGATCTAGAACTGGAAATACCATTTGACCCAGCCATCCCATTACTGGGTATATACCCAAAGGACTATAAATCATGCTGCTATAAAGACACATGCACACGTATGTTTATTGCGGCATTATTCACAATAGCAAAGACTTGGAACCAACCCAAATGTCTAACAATGATAGACTGGATTAAGAAAATGTGGCACATATACACCATGGAATACTATGCAGCCATAAAAAATGATGAGTTCATGTCCTTTGTAGGGACATGGATGAAATTGGAAATCATCATTCTCAGTAAACTATCGCAAGAACAAAAAACCAAACACCGCATATTCTCACTCATAGGTGGGAATTGAACAATGAGATCACATGGACACAGGAAGGGGAATATCACACTCTGGGGACTGTTGTGGGGTGGGGGGAGGGGGGAGGGATAGCATTGGGAGATATACCTAATGCTAGATGACGAGTTAGTGGGTGCAGCGCACCAGCATGGCACATGTATACATATGTAACTAACCTGCACAATGTGCACATGTACCCTAAAACTTAAAGTATAATAAAAAATAAAAATAATAATAATAATAAAAATAAAAAAGAAAAAAAAAAAAAAGAAGTGCTTTTCACCTCCTGCCACGATTCTGAGGCCTCCCCAGCCATGTTGAACTGTGAGTCCAATTAAACCTCTTTTTCTTCCCAGTCTTGGGTATGTCTTTATCAGCAGTGTGAAAACAGTCTAATACAGCTCTCCATTCACATTTCTTCCTGATCGATCTACTGGCATACCTTCAGCTTCTCACTACAATAATTATTATAATCACCACTAGTCAATGAACTCATGACTGTAGTCTCCACTAATATAATTGCAGTTAGACAGATATAAATAATTCCTAGCCCCATTAACATGACAAAAAGTAGGTAAATGCAATCTGTCACCTGTGTGGTCTGGGAATCTATCCTTCAGGTCTTTGTCAGCTTGGGCGAGCCCTTCTGCTCCTCTCCATGAACAAGCTTGTTCATTCTCCTGTCCCCATGGTCAGCAGGGTGGAGTGGGTAGCCCCACCCTGAGGAACACATCACTGTAGATCTGCAGTGACTACTCTGGCTTTGCCACTGCACTGCTTGTGAAGCAGGCTCACTGTGTGCCCTTATCAATCTCAGAGGAAGACTCTAAACATTTGCCCAATACTATGCACCAGTATCAATCCATTTTATGAGTCTGGTGAGACAGGACACTCACACAAGTTAAGTGAAGCAACTTTATTATTCATAGAAAGTCAGCAAAGGACAAAAGAAGTCTTTGATTAATGGAGAGTCCTCCAAGGCTCAGGAAAACTGCCCAAGGTAGGCAGAGTCTTGCCTGCATGTGCTCCACTTGCACGGCAACCAAGAGATCCTGAAAGCAGTCTGCTCTGGGTTCTGTACCCCAGGGAGAATATGACTCACTGGGCCACAGCATTGTAGGATATCCTGCTCTAGGAGGGACAGGAACAGAGCCTGGGCTATTCCTGCCAGTTCCTCCTAATCTTTGGAATGTGTTGCATTCTCACCACACTGTACAGTTATTCTGAGAACTTCAAGTGAGAAAAGGGGGAAGAGCTGGGTCACCAAGGCCATCCAGGGACTCGTCCTGCACTGCTGGCTGCCAAGTTTTGAGAACTTAAACTGAACCCAGTATGGTGCTAAGTGCCTTGCCAACCTGACTCTCAGAAAAAGGTGCCATTCTCATCCCCATTTTACAGATGTGAAAACCAGGGTTAGCAGTGTTAAGTGACTTGACCAAAGTCCTGCAAATACTGAGTGATAAGCCAGCTGAGCACACATTTTTCTACTAACACATGGAACCAGAACTCCTCCTCTCTATCCCCTTTTTTCCTCCTTTTCTTCATCTTCCTCCCTAGTCTTTTCCCCACAGCCCAGCACCACAAAGTTTCTGTGGACAGGCAGCCTGAGATCTGAGATTCCATATCACCTTCTGCAACAGCAAGGGGGATATGGCTTCAGAGACACCCTTGCATTATTGGAGGATGGCCGAGGCTTCCAAACTTACAACCCACTCGAGGCCCCTCCCCTGGCTCGGAGCTGCGTGCCTGGAAGAAGACGCGTTGATTTCTCCTTCACTTCTAGCAGCTCACCCGAGGGACCATCCCCATCCTCAGCATCCCGTCGCTGCAGGTGTGTGGGTGATGATTACACTGTTCCCAGGTTTACTTTCACACAGTGTGCCAAGGAGTTTCTCCTGGACCTCATGTGATCCCACATCATCCTGGGAAGCGGAGCATTATGCCCTTTGAATGGGGGGGAAACAGGTCACACAGGAAGGTAGGGGCAGAACCAGCATCAGATCCCAGAGTCTCTCATTCCCAGGTCAGCATCTGTAGCAAAAGGGCAGGCCAAACCTGTGAGTTGGTCACGATGTCGGTTGTTTTAGTTTTTATTTCAGCACGAGTCTCACCTGCCTGCTCTTCAGAGCCATAGGGGAGGGCAGGGCCAGAGCTGTCTGGATTCAGCTCAGGGCCCTGCCTGCCCCTGACTGGCCCAGAGCCCCTCACCCTGCCGTTGACCCCTGTCCTACCCCCTATGATGCAGTCTGCCTCGTACAGCCCAGGAGAAGTTCCCAGACAGGGACTACCACTGACTCATGGTGTGTGACATTGGGCAAGCGCTCCTTTGCCTCCACTGGCCTCAGTTTTCTCATTTGTAAAATGGTCTTTCACGGGACCAGGGCACTGAGTTTGACTCCTCGGCTACCTGTGCTCGGAGCATCCTGTTCCCCAGGGGCTTCGGGGCTGGACGTGGCCTGCACGGCCGCTTGGCTCCACAGCAGCTGTTTCACTTCCTCAGCAAGGATTGTAATTCCTCCTGCTGGAAACTGGGTCCATGCGTTTGGCCTGAATAAGTTGATTTGTCAAAATTACCATTTCCTGGGGCTGCTCACATCAGAAGCAGCAGGTGGTTCTTCCATGTGCTTCAGAAGGCGCCCCAGAGTCCAGCTGGGACAAATCCATCCCTCCAAAGCGACATCTGCTGGAAGGCAGCACTGAATTATGTCGCATTATAACAGCATTTCACTCGGTTCCTGTGACCTTTGTTTAGCCAGAGCCAGAATCTCCTGCCGAGGGGCCTGCTCCCCTGTCTGGGGACTTTTCCTGGGCTGCACCAGGCAGACTGCATCATAGCGGGTAGGACAGGGGTCCACGACAGGGTGAAGGGTTCTGGGCCAGGCGGGGGTGGGCAGAGATAGGCCCCCTGATGGAGAGGAGAAGTCGGGGTTGAGAGGACCACATCCATGGGACAATTTGCTTCACAGGGCTGGTCACCCAGTGTGGGTGGTCCTGGAGGCTCCTGTCCCCTTCACCCATTCCCTTTCTCACTCAGCAAACATTTCTTGGCCACTGATGTACTGGGGTGACGTGCCAGGTTAAGGAGACACAGAGATGGGGAAGAGCTTGCCTTTACCTCGGGGACTCACAGTCTGGAACAAAAGGCAGAAACTCTCCATCAAGAAACAAAAACAGACATCAGGGAACAGGAGGAGGGAGCAGTTAACTCCCTCCAGAGTTAGAGGGGCAGGCGTGTGTCTTAGGGCAGCTGCCTTAAAAGCAGGGCCTGAGTCAAGGGCCCCGGTGCTGGCAGTTTATCTGAGAGGGGACCCTAGGAGCACACATGAGGAAATGGGGCAACTGAGGCAAGGCAGGGAGAAAAGTCAAGGAAGCGTGTATTAGGAATGGGTTACAGTGACAGCAACTGCGGGGCTCAGTCCCGCTGGGGAGCCTCTGAGGCCTGAGTGGAAGATGCCCCAGAGCCACCTTCCTGTGTGGGCACTAACCATCACCTCTTGAGGCATTAACTCTTCCTGTCCCTGCACCTGCCCTTGCACTTCCAGGAACAGTGTGTGGAAGGGAGGGGAGAAAACGGAAATGGTCCCAGGGACCAAGGAGATTACATGGGGGAAAGTTGAGCAGGTTGGATGCAGAGAAGCCTTGGTTGGCGGAGTTGGGTGAGCTAACGCAGTAGGAGAGAGCTGAGCACGTATATATATATATATATTTTTTTTTTTTTACCAGTACATGGAGCCAGAACTCCAGAGATGTGGATGTGGATGGAACCCTACAGAGGCAGAGGGAATGGATCCAGGTGGGAAGGTGCCTTCCACTGGGAGAGGGTGGACTTTGCTACGAAATGGCTGAGAACAGGTAGATGGGCTGTTCCATAGAAGGAAGAGAAGGATGTGTGTGCCTCATGGCCTCTACTTCCCAACAGGAAGAAAGTCAGACCATTTGCTGGGAGCAAATGCTGACTGGTGACTGGACAGGGGCCATGAAGAGGGCTTAGGCCTGAAGCAGCATTTGAAGTGTAGGGCAGTGGGTATGGACCACAGGAAGGTCAGGGGAGGGATGGACAGTGCTGGTGCCAGACTCAGCATACAGCTTGGCAGCATTGTGGTCATTACGGGCAGCCCCTCCACATCTCAGGATCAGAGTAGTGGAAGTAAACGGTCACTTTGGTCCTTTGCTGAGTTTGGCAGGACATGGGTGGCACAAAGAGGACACCAGCCAGTGTGCGTGCCATGGTCCTGGGGCAGAACCTCACCGGCTCCCCATCTCCTCCCCTCCTACATTTGGTCCTGGGAAAAGTAGAGAGTAGGAAGCATGGAAAAGATCCCACTGGGTGTTAGGGGGCTGGGTCTTAAAATAGCCCTGCAGCTCTCTTGCTGAATAACCTTGGATAAGTCACTTTCCCTTTCTGGGCCTGTTTCCATACCCATTCATTGGAATAATGATAAGACCTACCCAGCCAATTACACAAGGGGTTCCCGTGAAAGTTACATAAAATAACTAAGGTGTTTGTGGATGGAGAGGTCCTTTGGAGGCTGGTTCGAGCAGGGCAGAGGTGAGCAGCTATTTATCACAAATTCTCCTCCTCTTCAGTTTTCCCATCTGTAAAATGTGTAGGTTGGAAGCTGAGCTGAGTGTGGACCACAGTCACCCTGATCCTGAGGCCCAGGAAAGACCCTGGTTCTTTCCATGCCAGCAGCCTTGTGACATTTTGCCGTTTTGCGAGATTCTCTCAGAGAATGTGGTTAAATGAGAAGTTCCATGATTCCTCAATACTCAACCTCATCCTCATCTCTACACAAGGATGCAAATTCACTGGATGGGTCCAAAAGAGGTGGAGGTGAGGAGAGAGGCCAAGATGACAGGAGCATGAGGGGACCTGGATCTTTAAAGGACTTTGATGGGGAGAGGTACTCAGAGTTGACCGGAGGACGCGGTGTGGGTTTGGGAGGGAGGGGAAGGGGAAGGGATCCCAGAGCTCAGCAAGGAAAGAGACCCAGGGAGGGGACTCTGTCTCCAGCTCTTTTCAAACAGAGAATGCATCAAATCAAGAGAATAAACACAGCCCAAGAGAGCCACATTATTCACTTTGAAATGAGCAGAAAATGACATTTCTGGTCAAGGTTCCTCTTCCCACCCCAGGGAGAGAGTAGGAGGCGAACTTAGACTAGTTTCCTTTTTCTTGAAAGGAGTTCTTAGCTCCCGAGCTCCCGCTAACTCAGGCCACCCTCACAGTGAGAATTCACAGACTAGGATGATTGGGCAGTGTTTCATGCCGGCCTGCTGCCTGCCAGCCCTGGGCCTGGAGAGGCTGTTGATGGTGAGGCTCGATGGAGGTAAGCCCAGCTATAGCAGGGTTGGGAGAGCAGCCTGGCTGAGGGTTGAGAGCAGCCTCAAGCAGCTGGTGTGGTGCAGGCATAGACTGGCTGTTGTTGCTGAGTTTGCATGAGCACTGGCTTTGGAGTCAGTCCCAAGTTCTAGTTCAGAGACTGATTCTTATCTAGCTCTGACACTGAGAGCTCTTCCCTGAGCCTTGACTTTCTTGTCTGTCAAATGGGCTTGGTGATACCCACCTCTGGGGGTGCTGAGAATATTAGAAAAAATGTATTAGGGACAATGCACAGCAGTCACTATTGTGATCACCAGGACCAGCCAGGGTGGGGGTGCAGGCCCTCAGACTAAAGTCAGCGCAAAGCCACCAGGCTCAGAAACTAGATGCTTAGGCCAATGGCCTGGGCCCCACTGAGCAATGTCAGCCCCATTGTCTGAGGGATGTTGAACCCAGTGCTGTCCAATTTAGAATACACTCATAGAAAGCACCTAGGTCCACGTCCTTATGGACAGTTCAGGAGACTGAGCCCCAGGTGTTTGCTCAACGCCACATAGCATGGTGGTGGCCGAGCCAGCATTGGAAACCATCCTCATGACATCAAGCCATGTGGTCCATCCAAGGACTAAAAATGATGTGCTTAAAAGTATAGGCTTTGGAGCCAGACAGACCTGAGCTCCAGTCCCAGCTCTGCAACTTTCATTATTCAACAAATACTCATTGAATTCCTGTCAAATGCCAGGCACATGTCCAGTGCAAGGGACACAAGAGGACAAGACCTACATGGCCCTGGCCTCTCACTGCTCACAGTCTGGTGGGAACAAATATCCAGTGAATGAACAAGCTCATCAACCACTGTGAGAAAGCAGTGAGGGACAGACACAGGATGGGCCCTGAAAGAGACAGGGACAGTGGGTGCTGGAGGGCCACTCAGGGCATTCAGGGAGGGCATCTCAGGAAGGGGATATCGGATCTGGGGACTGGACACCAGGCAGGAGCCAAGTATGTGGGACTGGAGAAGGGTATCCAGGCAAAGAGCTCGGAGTGATGGGGGAAGAGAAAAAGCTGGAGCATGCAGGAGCATGCAGGAGGGATGTGGCCAGAGACGGCAGAGCGAGGGCAGGCAGGCCTCAGAGGTCATGGTCAGGAGCACAGTGCTCATGGGCAGAGCAGTAGGAGGCCCTTGAGGGTTTGAGCAGGGGAATGATGGGGTCTGGCCTGTTTTTTCAAAGGATCACACTGGTTGCTGCTGTTTATATGACCTTGTTGGCTCTCTGACCTGGGGCAAGTTGTTTAAGCTCTCAAAGCCTCAGTCTCTTCGTCTGTAAAATGGGGATGATCACAGTACCCACCTCACAGGCATCATTGGAGGCTGATGTGTGAAAATCTGGAGAGCACTTAGCAATGTGACCCATGCATTTCAGTGCAAATAAACTTTGCTTTCTCACATCCCCTCGTCCAAAGCCCTCATCCTCCATCATCTGACTTGAACCTGTTGATCCTGCCTATGCAATGACTTCATTATTTCTGCGTTGCCCTTAGCCATGGGGATGTTGAGGCCAAAGCTCATTAAGCTCCTGTCCATCAGAGGTCAGCAGGGAGAGGTCCATGGAGCCCAGGGAGAGAGAGTGGCCAGGCCCCGCTCCCAGTGAGGGCCTTGCAAGTGGCCTTGGCATCCATCAATGTCTCGGCTCCATCTCCTGGCTGCCTGGGATATATGATGTGTCCCAATCAGGGGCAAGCAGAGAGGTCGTAAAAGTAATCATTGCCTTCACTGGCTCCTACTGCCAGATTTATTGTGGCATAAAGAAACAACTTAGCTCCTGGCAGTAACAGGCAGCCGGCCCATCCATGCTTGTAGAAATCCTATTTGCTGGGGCCTGGATGGGTGGAGGTTTCTACCCATACCTGATTGGCCAGAGGCCCTGGGCAGAACTCAGCTGGACCATTCATCTTCCTGTGCTCCAGGCCACCTTGTCTGAGAGGCTGCCACCTCTGACACATTTCGCAGCATTTGGGAGGCAGTGGTTAGGCCACAAATTACGCATCTGCCATTGCACTGAGGGGATTCTTGGGCTATTGACCCCAGGGAGGCCACAGAGCAGAGCAGTTAAAGGCCCAGGTGTTGGAGTCAGCCTAAACATGGGTTCAAGCCCCTGCTCTGCCATATATTGGCCAGGTGACCTTGGCTGAGTAAACTCACTTCCCTGAGCCTCCATGTCTTGTCTCCAAAATGGAGGGGTAGGAATCCCCGCTTTAAAGAGCTGCTGTATGGAGTAAGAAAGAGCCAAAGGGTGTAGGACACATAACACAGGAATAGGCACTAAACGAAAAGTGACTGTCACCATTTTCATTATCCAGGGGCTTCAGTATTATGGCGTGAGATGCCCTTTATTGAGGGCCAGTTACGTCACCAGGGACTATGCTGGCTCTTTTAAAATATTTTGTCCCTAGACCTCACAACCAATCCTGCAGATAGGTTCAGTTATGTTTATTGTGGGGTGGTTAGGGGACTGCAAGGTCGCTTGGCTGGTGGGGGGGGGAGCTGGGGGCGGGACCTTGGCCTGTGGGTTCTGGAGCTGGTGCTCCTCCTAATACACAGCCCACCTCCCCAGCTCCTCCGATAGGCCACGCAAGTCCCCTGGTCTGTCGGGCACGTAGGTCCAGCCTCCCTCCGTTCCTCTCTCCCTCTTGCCGATATTGCCCGACCGCATCACCCAGCCCTTCACTGGGTGATGGACACATAAGGACAAAACAGATGAGCTTCCCGCCCTCAAGGAGCTCAACATCCAAGAGGGTGAAGAGCAAAGCTGCTGGCCACTGTGCAGAGTGTGTGGCTGGCTCTTGTCTTGACATTGCCACCCTTTCTGCCATATTCTGTAACACTTCCCCAAGAAAATGCTTCCAAGGAGCTGTCTGCTATCCCTGGCTCCAATTCCTCTCCCCTTGAGCTCTCACTCCTACCACTCCACCAATGGCTGTATGCCACATATGACCCCCGTATCACTTATGACCTCTGCATCATCTATGACCCCCATATCACTTATGACCTCTGGATCACCTATAACCTCCACATCATCTGTGACCTCTGCATCACTTATGACCTCCACATCATCTATGGCCTCCAAGTCACCTATGACCTACACATCACCTGTGACCTCCACATCACCTATGACCTCTACATCACCTATGACCTACACATCATCTATGGCCTCCACATCATCTATGGCCTCCACATCACCTATGATCTTCATGTCACCTATGACCTCCACGTTGCTGAATGCAGTATCAACCCTAAGTCCTCAGCAGACTTGGCATGTTCATTCCCTTGACACAGCTGGCCATTTCCCGTCCCTGAACTATGTCCTTCATTGGCTTCTGGGAAACCTCCCTGGCTGTCTCAGTCTCTAACCTCTTAATGTTGAGGATTGGACTTTATTCATCTACTGTCTACACTTGTGCCCTTGGGGATGCCATCCAGTCTTGTGGTTTCGAAAACCGTCTATACACTGACAACTCTCAAATTTACATCTCCTCCGACTCTGGGTGCCTGGATTCCTATTCCTCTCTCTAGCTGGATGTCTATCAAACATCAGAGATCCACCATGGCCCAAAGTGAACTCCACATCTTCCTCCCCAGGAGTGTCCCCAGCTCAGCTAAAGCCAACTCTTTCTCTTGGCTGCCCAGACCACACTTTGAGGCCACCTTTACTTCTCTCCTTCTTTCACCCCCCATGTCAAATCCTGGAGCAGACTATGCTAACTCTGTCTTCAAAATACACCCAGAATCTGACTGCCTCTCCGCACTGCCATTGCATACAGCTCAGTCCAGGCACCGTCATCTCTCCCTGGGTGACTGCAGTGCCCATTAGGGCACACATCTCAGCCTTGCATCCCATTGGCCAGGCAGGGGCACATGACTACTCCAGCCATCCAGTGGGGAAGGAGAAGTGTTCTCCCTGTTCTGCATGGTTATGGCCTCAGTGACACCCATGCCTGCTGTTTCTATGGAAAAAGAGGACAAATGGGGGCAACTGGTGCCTCTGACACAGGGTCCTCTTGGGGAGGGAGATTACAGGGTCAAAATGAGGCATTTAAGCTCAAATCAGAAGAATAAGAAGTAAAGACGCATCCAAAGGGCATGGAAACAGCCTTCTGGGCAGAGGGATGAACAAAGCACAATGCCCCTGAGGTGAGAAGAAGCTGGGCATGTGTGAGGAATGGGGCAAGGGCCACTGTGGCTGGGGGTTGAGTGGGTGCACAGGATAGGGAGGAGGTGAGATGGCAAATTCAATCAAGGCCTCAGGGCCATGGTATGGATTTGGGATCACGCTAAAAAAATAGTGGCAAGGCACAGGAGGTTTTTTTTTTTTTTACTTTTTTTATACTTTAAGTTCTAGGGTACATGTGCACAATGTGCAGGTTTGTTACATATGTATACATGTGCCATGTTGGTGTGCTGCACCCATTAACTCATCATTTACATTAGGTATATTTCCTAATGCTATCCCTCCCCACTCCTCCCACCCCACGACAGGCCCCAGTGTGTGATGTTCCCCTTCCTGTGTCCAAGTGTTCTCATTGTTCAATTTCCACCTATGAGTGAGAACATGCAGTGTTTGGTTTTTTGTCCCTGTGATAATTTGCTGAGAATGATGGTTTCCAGCTTCATCCATGTCCCTGCAATGGACATGAACTCATCATTTTTTATGGCTGCATAGTATTCCATGGTGTATATGTGCCACATTTTCTTAATCCAGTCTATCATTGATGGACATTTGGGTTGGTTCCAAGTCTTTGCTATTGTGAATAGTGCCACAATAAATATACATGTGCATGTGTCTTTATAGCAGCATGATTTATAATCCTTTGGGTATATACCCAGTAATGGGATGGCTGGGTCAAATGGTATTTCTAGTTCTAGATCCTTGAGGAATTGCCACATTGTCTTCCACAATGGTTGAACTATTTTACAGTCCCACCAACAGTGTAAAAGTGTTCCTATTTCTCCACATCCTCTCCAGCACCTGTTGTTTCCTGACTTTTTAATGATCACCATTCTAACTGGTGTGAGATGGTATCTCATTGTGGTTTTGATTTCCTTTTCTCTGATGGCCAGTGATGATGAGCATTTTTTCATGTGTCTGTTGGCTGCATAAAGGTCTTCTTTTGAGAAGTGTCTGTTCATATCCTTCACCTACTTTTTGATGGGGTTGTTTGTTTTTTTCTTGTAAATTTGTTTGAGTTCTTTGTAGATTCTGGATATTAGCCCTTTGTCAGATGAGTAGATTGCAAAAATTTTCTCCCATTCTGTAGGTTGCCTGTTCACTCTGATGGTAATTTCTTTTGCTGTGCAGAAGCTCTTTAGTTTAATTAGATCCCATTTGTCAATTTTGCCTTTTGTTGCCATTGCTTTTGGTGTTTTAGCCATGAAGTCCTTGCCCATGCCTATGTCCTGAATGGTATTGCCTAGGTTTTCTTCTAGGGTTTTTATGGTTTTAGGTCTAACATTTAAGTCTTTAATCCATCTTGAATTAATTTTAGTAGAAGGTGTGAGGAAGGGATCCAGTTTCAGCTTTCTACATTATGGCTAGCCAGTTTTCCCAGCACTATTCATTAAATAGGGAATCTTTCCCCATTTCTTATTTTTGATAGGTTTGTCAAAGATCAGATGGTTGTAGATGTGTGGTATTATTTCTGAGGGCTCTGTTCTGTTCCATTGGTCTATATCTCTGTTTTGGTACCAGTACCAAGCTGTTTTAGTTACTCTAGCCTTGTAGTATTGTTTGAAGTCAGGTAGCATGATGCCTCCAGCTTTGTTCTTTTGGCTTAGGATTGACTTGGCAATGTGGGCTCTTTTTAGGCTCCATATGAACTTTAAAGTAGTTTTTTCCAATTCTGTGAAGAAAGTCATTGGTAGCTTGATGGGGATGGCATTGAATCTATAAATTACCTTGGGCAGTATGGCCATTTTCACAATATTGATTCTTCCTATCCATGAGCATGGAATGTTCTTCCATTTGTTTGTGTCCTCTTTCATTTCGCCGAGCAGTGGTTTGTAGTTCTCCTTGAAGAGGTCCTTCACATCCCTTGTAAGTTGGATTCCTAGGTATTTTATTCTCTTTGAAGCAATTGTGAATGGGACTTCACTCATGATTTGGCTGTTTGTCTGTTACTGGTGTATAAGAATGCTTGTGATTTTTGCACATTGATTTTGTATCCTGAGACTTTGCTGAAGTTGCTTATCAGCTTAAGGAGATTTTGGGCAGAGATGATGGGGTTTTCTAGATATACAATCATGTCATCTGCAAACAGGGACAATTTGACTTCCTCTTTTCCTAATTGAATATCCTTTATTTCCTTCTCCTGCCTGATTGCCCTGGCCAGAACTTCCAACACTATGTTGAATAGGAGTGGTGAGAGAGAGCATCCCTGTCTTGTGCCAGTTTTCAAAGAGAATGCTTCCAGTTTTTGCCCATTCAGTATGATATTGGCTGTGGGTTTGTCATAAATAGCTCTTATTATTTTGAGATACATCCTGTCAATACCCAATTTATTGAGAGTTTTTAGCATGAAGGGCTGTTGAATTTTGTCAAAGGCCTTTTCTGCATCTATTGAGATAATCATGTGGTTTTTGTCTTTGATTCTGTTTATATGCTGGATTACTTTTATTGATTTGTGTATGTTGAACCAGCCTTGCATCCCAGGAATGAAGCCCACTTGATCATTGTGTACAAGCTTTTTGATGTGCTGCTGGATTCGGTTTTCCAGTATTTTATTGAGGATTTTTGCATCGATATTCATCAAGGATATTGGTCTAAAATCATCTTTTTGTGTGTATCTGCCAGGCTTTGGAATCAGGATGATGCTGGCCTCATAAAATGAGTTAGGGAGGATTCCCTCTTTTTCTATTGATTGGAATAGTTTCAGAAGGAATGGTACCAGCTCCTCCTTGTACCTCTGGTAGAATTCGGCTGTGAATCCATCTGGTCGTGGACTTTTTTTGGTTGGTAAGCTATTGATTATTGCCACAATTTCAGAGCCTGTTATTTGTCTATTCAGGGATTCAACTTCTTCCTGGTTTAGTCTTGGGAGAGTGTATGTGTCCAGGAATTTATCCATTTCTTCTAGATTTTTCTAGTTTATTTGCATGGAGGTGTTTATAGTATTCTCTGATGGTAGTTTGTATTTCTGTGCGATCAGTGGTGATATCCCCTTTATCATTTTTTATTGTATCTATTTGATTCTTCTCTCTTTCTTCTTTATTAGTCTTGCTAGTGGTCTATCAATTTTGTTGATCTTTTCAAAAAACCAGCTCCTGGATTCATTGATTTTTTTGAAGGGTTTTTTGTGTCTCTATCTCCTTCAGTTCTGCTCGGATC